>NC_000014.9:60823834-61126864 GCF_000001405.40 Homo sapiens | reverse complement strand
GCTTTATGACATGGGCACTGGCTTACAAGCTACTCTGGTGCTGGTCAGGAGCTTCATGTGCACAGTTAACCTTAGATCACTGTGATTAATCAGAGTGCAGCCATGGTAGATCACAGGCTAGTCCCCTGGCAAGGCCAGCAGGAGCACTCCTCCAGCCTGAGCAAGCGGGGAGCAGATTTTAATTCCAGGCTGTTAGGTGCTGCCTGACATTGGTGTCCCTGTGGTGTTTCATAAGCCCTGACAGTTCCTCACCATTGTTTTAGGGAAAGCAGGCACTCCTCTCACTTTACCACCCCATTGCCTTCCCTGGAAATGAACACTTTCTCCCCACTTTGAATCTTGTGCCAGAAGGAAGGAGGGGAAATGACTGCACATTCCAAAAAGGTCAAAGATGGTCTGAAAGCAAAGGATGCACGCGTCTGCATCATTTCCAACAGCCCTTTGCAGTTCCTTTTAATTAGCTCAGTTTATGTTCCCCTCAGGTGGGGAGAAGCCCAGGATCACTCTGTCAACAGTTCTATCTATAGCAGAACCCCCATCCTTCACCCCGGCGTCTCCACTTGCACAACACTCGCTGACCCCGAGACTCAGCTGTGAGAATCAATCATCTCCTTCCAGAATTCATCATTCAGCAGCTGCGGGGCCTCAGCTATTTTTATCACCGCAGGAAGCTGGTGGCCAAGGACGTGCTGGGCTACCTTTGCAGGAGGTGTTGCTGTAGAAATGAGCTGTGGGTTGTCAGGGCAGCTGAGCCTCTGCCTCAAGGTTAAATCCAAAGTGCCTGACCTGGAACAGGAGAGCACTTGATCTTCTTCCATTCTGCAGCAAAGTGCCCCAGAGGCATATGCTGGGGAAGCAGATGTCCCAAGGAGGGGACACTGTGGAAGGACTCCGGATGGGAGGGAGAGGCAAACAGAGTGGACATGTGTGAACATGTACCTGGGTTTCTCCTACCCAGACTGGGAAATGGGATATCTTAACCCTAGGCAGCTGGCTTCAATCACCTGCACAGTACCAGCCAAGGAATTCCCACTTTGCTGTGTTCCCACCAACCACCAACCCTTGTGGGGCGCCTTCTATGTACCAGACCCTGGACTGGGGCTGAGGCTCCAGGATCTGCCCTGGAGTTGTCTCGAGTCTAGAGGAGAGGACAAATCAGACGCAGTATCACCAAACCCTGATGGCCACTTGCTCCAGTCACCCCAGGTCCTTTGCTGTGTTCCAGGGGAGGAAGCCATGGGGTGTAACAGCAGGTAACTCGGAAGGATTTTCTATTTGTAAATGTTCATCCGATACTCTAAACAAGCTCCTTCAGCACAGGCCTCTGAGATAAGGCAGTATTTTTAGTTTATTTAGAAATCATCTGGCTTGTTAGCTGTGCACATGTGTGCTTTGCTCACAAAGTGGGAAAAGCAGAACTCACTAGCATCCTAACAGAGAGAAGAGGGAAAGATGTCCCCGATTCCCTGGACATCTCTCATTTCAGAAAAGGAAAGGGGGGTAGTACTCGAGGCTCTGCTGCTGTGAGCCTCTGTAGCCTTTAGGAAGGGGGAAAGTGACCCTATATTCTCTGCTGGAGGGATGGGGGGATGGGGAAATGGAGGCTGTTCATCTCTTCCAAACTCCAACTGTTATAGGAAAGCGGTCCCAATCCAGATCCCAAGAGAGGGTTCTTGGATCTCACGCAAGAAAGAATCAGGGCAAGTCTGTAAAGTGAAAGCAAGTTTATTAAGAAAGTAAAGGAACGAAAGAATGGCTACTCCATAGACAGAGCAGTCCTGAGGGCTGCTGGTTGCCCATTTTTATGGTTCTTTCTTGATAATATGCTAAACAAGGGGTGGATTATTCATGCCTCCCCTTTTTAGACCATATAGGGTAACTTCCTGATGTTGCCATGGCATTGGTAAACTGTCATAGCACTGGTGGGAGTGTAGCAGTGAGGATGACCAGAGATCACTCTCTTGGCCATCTTGGTTTTGGTGGGGTTTAGCTGGCTTCTTTACTACAACCTGTTTTATCAGCAGGGTCTTTATGGCAGGGTCTTTATGTGCTGACCTCCTATCTCATCCTGTGACTTAGAATGCCTTAACCATCTGGGAATGCAGCCCAGGAGGTCTCAGCCTCATTTTACCCAGCTCCTATTTAAGATGGAGTTCCTCTGGTTCAAACACCTCTGACACAATGACATAGAGAGAAATGAGTCTGGGTGGGTCCAGAAGTCCAGTTCCCTACTGAGCAGGGGAGAAGGCCAGTTTGCCCACCGCCAACCACATCTGCTGAGGACAAGCTAGGGGTATTTGCTGAGGGGTGCCTACCCAAGGGGCCCTTCCTGGTTATAGAGGTGGAATGAGAGCTACCCCAGGGAAAGTTGCAGGGCTTGGGGGAAGAATTTGCTTTGAGCACTGGAGCCAGTGGGAGCCAGGCTACGGAGAAGCACCGGAGGTCCTGGGAGGTTTATCAACTGCCCCAGGGCCCTGGAGTCCCCCAAGGCCAAAAGCTCCCTCACACCCTGGGCTCTCTGTGGCTGTGACTCTGACCAGATATTTTACTGACCTAAAATAGTCTCTTCCACAGACAATGTCAAGTTAGCAAACTGTTTAAAGAATAAAGTCACTCAACACTCTCATTTAGAGCTTCAGAGTGTGCAAATTGACATAACCTTTCTGGAGGACAATTTGGCAATTAGTATGGGACCTTAGAAATATTCACACTCCTCGAGCTAATAATTTCTGCTTTGTAAATTTCCCCAAAGCAAAGAATATCCAAAAATAGTGGAATGGAGAAATGAATGATGGTGCATCTTTTTGATGAAATCCAGTGCTGCTAAATATTTAATGATATGGGAAAGTGCTAAAAGTGTAACGCTCAATTTAAAAAGGCAGAATAAAGAATGTATGTAGAGTATGATCTCAAGATTTTTGTTATTGTAACAGTTGCTATAAGAACGGTCCTTATTTAAACAAAGTCCTTTATAAGCAACTTCCTTGCATTAGAAGGAAGACCATAGGGGAGGGGGGCAAAGAAACAGAAGAGATGCTTTGGGGGCCGCTGGTGGGGAGGGCTGGGGGAGGGGCATGGAACCAAGGGGGAAGCCAGGAGCCTGGAGGTGTGAGTCTGAGGCCTCCCAGGGTGAAGAAGTCACAGATACTCTGCCTGGTAGCTGCCTGGAGGACACAAAGATGCCTGGTGTTTTGGCTGCTACTGTGGTTTCAAACTAACTCCAACTCCACCCCCTCCTAAAATTTTCAGTGAAGTCCACCCCATCAATAATTGATCTGTGTGAGTGCAGATTTAGGGTAGAAACCCAGGGTAAGACGTACTCTCCATCTGTGTTCATGAAAAACGGAACAACACCAGGAAATTAGCTATAGAAATCCATGCTTGGGGGCAGGGGTGATCCTGAGGACTGAAGACCCCATGGAATTTCCAGAAGGCTTGGGGAGGACTTTAGACTTCTAGAGGGCATGGAACAGGGTTGAGCCTCTCCAACAGTGTGAGAGGCTGGGGAATCCTTACTGATATCCAACATGGGTATAAATGGGCATATAGGCATATACAGATACAGGGCTGGAGGAACAGTGCCAGTACCCCGTGGCACTCCCTGGCAGTGGGATTATGGTGATATTTATTTTCCTTTTTATATAGCTTAGAATTTCAAATTCTTGTAAAACAAACACCGATTTTATAATTTTTTTTTAAGAGTCAAAGTTTCACTCTGTTGCCCAGGCTGGAGTGCAGTGACACAATCATAGCTCACTGTAACCTTGGACTCTTGAGCTTAGGTGATCCTCCCACCTCAGCCTCCCAAGTAGATGGGACTACAGGTGTGTACCAGCATGCCTGGCTAATTTTTTTATTTAGCCATGTCGAGACAGGGTTTTGCCATGTTGCCCAGGCTGGTCTCTAACTCCTGGGCTCAAGGGAACCTCCCACCTTGGCCACCCAAAGCACTGGGATTACAGCCATGAGCCACCGTACCCAGCCAGATTTTATAATTTTTTAAAAACTAATAAATGTAGATACAAAGCACTGCCATTCCATGTTGCTTGTAGAGTCTGTTTCTGCCTCTGGGTTGGTGAGAAGACTGTGGGCCCAGATCCTGCCATGGACTCAGACTCTTCATGTAACTGAGGTCAGTGCTGGGATCCAGGGGCCCTGCCCACTCACTAACACACCAGAGATCACATGAGATCCCCAAGATGGAACTCAAAGACATATTGGACACCTTCCTGTCTGGGCTGCAGCCTGGAGCATGCTATGGGTCCCAGAACAGGGTCCATGAAGAGGAATGTATTTCCCTGCAAATTGAGGCACGGTTGCAGTTGCTGGAAGGACATAATCAACGATGGCATCCTGGTTTCTCTGCCTCCCTTTGAGCTTCTCTGTTTATGCACATCTCCTAAAGGCTTGCAAGTCAAATGCCATTTCTTGCTGGTTTTTGTCTTTGAGTATCTTTCCTCTCCTAAAATAGAGCAGAAGCCTACAATGCAGGGTTAGTTTTCTTTCCTCCCTTCTTTTGTTGAAGGGAAATTCTGCACATAATACATAGAGAAGAAAATACAATCAACCCATACGATCATTGTGCTTTTGGGTGGACAAGGCAAATATTTCTGTCTTCGATGACAATACATATTTGTAATATCACACTTGGAGCTTTTCTGCCGTTGCCTATGTGGGGATCTGAAAGTGTTTTCTACTCAGCCATTCATCTTCAAACCATCTTTCAGGAAAAAGACAGGAAATTGAGAAAAATTATTTGCAGGCTTATTTTTCTGAATGATGCCCTCAAACGTTTTTTGACTGTGGCCCAACTCAGGCTTGGCAGAGGTCCCCACAGCCATCTCCCTCTGCCTGCCCCCTCTTTCCAGAAGAAAAACAAAACTCAGTGATAATAAAGAATATTAGAGGAACAGACAAGAACCTCTTATTTACTTTATAAAAATATTGTAAACATTATATACATGACTTTATGCTATATTGTTCCTTATTACTCATTTTGCATAGTTTATTATAATTATTTAACATAAATATTTTTATGTTGTATTCTATTTTATAATGCAAAACAATATTTTAAAAGAAGTTTCGTAATGCTTAATGTTTCTTGGTAGGATTCAAGTAAATAGCCTTTGGTAGGGCTTAATAATGTTTACAGCATTGGGCATGGTTTGCACATAAGATCTTGGCATTTGAGATTTCGTAATCCCTGCTCAGCCCTTCTAAGGAAGGAAACCGCCTCTCATATTTTCTTTTGCCTATTTGCCTAATTTCTCCCTCAAAGAAAAGAAAAAGTAGGAGTTAAAGAAAAGGCAGAAGTGAAATTCAATAGTCAAACAACCCGGCACCACACCCCAGGCCTGGTAGTTAAAGATCAACCCCTGACCTAATCGCTTATGTTATATATAGATTCCAGACATTGTATGAGGAAACATTGTGTAACTCCCTGTTCGGTTCTGTTCTGTTCTGACCACCGGTGCAGACAGCCCCCGTCACGTAGTCCCCACTTGCACAATGTATCACGACCCTTTCATGTGGACCCCTTAGAGTTGTAAGCCCTTAAAAGGGACAGGAATCTTGACTTCAGGGAGCTTGGTTCTTGAGATATGAGTCTACCAATGCTCCCAGCTAATTAAAGCCTCTTCCTTCCTAAAACTGGTATCCGAGAGGTTTTGTCTGTGACTGGTCCTGCTACATTTCTTAGTTCACGCTACATTTCTTAGTTCCCTGACCGGGAAGTGAGGTGATTAACGGATGGTCAAGGCAGCCCCTTAGGCAGCTTAGGCCTGTCCTGTGGAGCATCCCTGTGGGGGACTCCAGCCCTGTGACACGGATCCTGAGAGCACTCCCAGTAGGCCATCGCCCAGGTGGAATGCTTTGCCAGAGCAGTGCGCGGCAGACCCCCATGGAGGATTAACACAGCGGCTGAACACTGGGAAGGAATCCGTGCTTGGAGTCCTGACATCTGGAACATGGTAAGACCGGTCTTGGAACTTGCCCACTCCATCTGAGTGGAAGCATGGCCTGATCACCCACGGTGTGCCGTTATCAGCACTTTGGTTTTGGTTTTGATTTTGACTGGATTTGAAATGTTTTGGTTTTGATTTCAGTTCTGACTTTTGGATTTGAACTGTTTTGGCTTTGATTTCGGTTCTGACTCGGCTCAAATTGCTTGATGAATGAGTAACTCCTTATCCGTCCTTTGGTTTTAGATTTAATTTTGATCTGGTGTGAATTGGTTGGTGAGTGAGTGACTTTTTGCCCCTTTTCCCTTCCCTCTTTGTGGTAAGAGTGTTGTTTTGTCTGCTGAGAGAGGAAAATGGGTAAAACACAGAATAAGCCTACTCCGTTAGGAACTGTGTTAAAGAATTTCAAGAAAGGATCCAATGGGGACTATGGAATTGCTATGACACCTGGAAAGCTTAAGGCTTTGTGTGAGATAGATTGGCCGGCATTAGAGGTGGGATGGCCATCAGAAGGAAGTCTAGACAAGTCCCTAGTTTCAAAGGTATGGCACAAAGTAACTGGTAAATCAGGACACCCAGATCAGTTTCCATACATAGATACTTGGTTGCAGTGAGTTTTAGACCCCCCACAGTGGTTGAGAGGACAGGCAGCAGCAGTGTTAGTGGCAAAGGGACAGATAGCCAAGAGGGGGATCTCGTTCCACCCGCTGAGAGAAGTCAGCTCCTAAGGTTCTGTCTGACCCAACATCACAGGATGCATGGCAGGCAGTGGCACCAGTGGTGCCCCCCCTTACCGAGAAGAGAGACTCCCCACTCCTGAGCCCACAGCACCTGAGCCTCCACAGGACACACACACCCCTAGACCACCCAGAGTAGACAAGAGAGGAAAGAGAGAGAGAGGCAAAGAGGCAAAGAGAGAGAAAAAGAGAGAGAGAACAAGAGACAGAGAGACAAAGAAGGAGTGAAAGACAGAGAGAGAAAGAGAGGCAGAGAGAGAGGAAGAGACAAAGACAACAGGAAAGTCAGAGAGAGAGACAGAAAGTCAAAGACAGAAAGAAAGAAAGAGATATACAAATAGTTAAAACAACAACAACAGTTTACCCTATTCGTTTAAAAGCCAAGGTAAATTTAGAAACTTTAATTGATAATTAAAGGTCTTCTCTGAGACCCTACAACACTCCAATACTACCTTGTTGTCAGTGTAAACAAGGGTGTAGCCCGAAAGCACTGAGGCCACTGACAATCCGTAGCCTTCCTGTAAAAATCCTTAATCCAGTACCCCTTGGATGGCCTAAATACATTCAATCTGTAGCGGCAACAGCTTTGCTAACAGAAGAAAGTAGAAAAATAACTTTTAGAGGAAACCTCATTGTGAGCACACCTCACCAGTTCAGAACTATCCTAAGTCAAAAAAAAAAAAAAAAAAAAAAATGGGTGGCTTACTAACTCAAAAATCTACAAGTATGGGGCTTTTCTGTTAGAAAAAGATGATTTAACATTAACCACTGATAATTCCCTTAACCCAGCATGTTTCCTAATAAGGGATCTCAATCTTAATTAATTACCAAAGGTCTGACTAGACCTAGGAGGAAGAACTCCCTTCAGGACTGGATGATAGATGGTTCCTCCCGGGTGACTGAGGGAAAAAGACACAATAGGTATTTAGTAATTGATAGGGAAACTCTTGTAAAAGCAGAGTTAGGAAATTTGCCTAATAATTGGTCTGCTCAAAGTGCCAGCTGTTTCCACCCAGCCAGGCCTTAAAGTACTTATAGAACCAGGAAGGAACCATCTATACCAATTCTAAGTTAATTTGGACTAAACAAGGGCTTATTAACAGCAAAGGATAATTGAAATCCCAAACTTACAAGGTTTTCAACAAAAGTAAAGTTTGCTAAAAGTTAACAGTGTAACATGTATTATCCTAACTTCTAATCTTACGGCCTTAGGCAGTCTAGTCCACAGACATGAAGAAAGTTCACTTTGGAAAAGAATGGTTATCATCTTTAGGGGAAAAAAAGGCGGGGGGAGGGGGGAGGAGAATTTATGTAAAAGAATGTTATATGGTAAATTATTTTCCTAAAATAACTGGTTATTTAAAGAAAGGGATGTTTGCAAGAAGTCAGAAAGTTGAGGCATGTCGAAGAATTGTCTGTGAAAGTCGTGAAAGAAAAAAATGTGTTATAAAAAGGAATTTATGCAAGAAATGTTGTATAATTTAAAAGTAATTAGGCCTCCTGAATGTAAAACTATTGAAGAAAGTTTATGTGCAAGGTGTATAAGGAAAGTAAAATATACTTTTAGTAAAAGGATTATAAGGAGACATAAGAATGTGGATTTTTACCTATATTAAAAGGTTAAAAACAAATTTTTGTTTTGAAGGTTTAAGCAAGTTTTAAAACATTAATCGTAACGAAAATTCTGTGTGTCAATATATTGGCTAAAGTTAAAGGGGTATCATCCAGTTTTTCTGTGAACTGGACATCAAAATAAAAACACGATGGGTTTTTCTTAAAGCACTGACCTGCTCTTTAACAAAAATTATAAAAGGTTAAAAAGAGTCTATAAAAATCTTACCTTATGGTCAGACATTAAAAATTGAATAAATATGTCTACAAAGTTTTATTAAAACTAAGTTTAACATTAATAACACTAATATAAAGGTGAAATTTAGCTTATCTGGTACAAAATCATACGGAAAGCATTGTCAAATATAAAATGGTGTTTGGCTTTCTTTGGTCTAAAAACTAATAAAAATAGGTGCTAAAGGAAATTTCTCAGTAAGAAGGCACCAAGGACTATAAAGTCCACTGCCGATGTCCCCACATTTAAAACAAAATGTCAATTTCTTATAAATTATATACTTGGTTTGTTTTCCACTTTCCTTTCCCTCAAAACTAAAAGGCTTTTAGCACATGTACCACCCCTAGAATTTCCAGTAAACCAGCACCAGCCTGAAGATCACATTCTCATCAAAAGGTGGAAAGAAGGAAAAATCGAGCCAGCCTGGGAAGGACCCTACCTTGTGCTGCTAACCACCGAGACTGCTGTTCCTACAGCAAAAAGGGATGGACTCATCACATCCGAGTCGAGAAAGCACCAACCCCTTCAGAGTCGTGGGCCATAGTCCCAGGGGAAAACCCTACCAAACTAAAGCTAAGAAAAATTTAACTCTTTCATCTATTGTATTACTCTTTTTTCTTTCCTTGCTCTATTGCTGACCATCTAGACATAACCAAGTCAATTTCACCTCAAACTATTGCATTTAATGCTTGTCTTGTTATACCCTGTGGGGACTTGCCAAGTCAAAGACAGCTCTCTACTTCAGAAAAGTACCTCTGTCCCTCCTGACTCTCCTCAGACTAGGCAATAGTAAATTAGGACCATTTAATCTGAGGAGATTTTGATAAAGACTCCAGTGTCAACCAGGAGTCTTGCCCCCCAGTGTAGAGCTTTCATGCCATAGTTGGTCCAATATTCTGTGGACCACTAAAGAGCAAGGATGGACTGCCCCAACTGGTTTTTGTAATTTCTTAAAACCATACATTCATTTCACTAGAGGATCACAGAAGTTAAAGACTTAAAACAAACTTTGACAATTAAGACAGGATACCAAGATGCAAATGCCTGGTTGGAATGGATCAAATATTCTGTCCGCATGTTAAACAAAAGCAATTGTTATGCTTGTGCACATGGCAGGCCAGAGGCCCAGACTGTCCCCTTTCCACTAAGGTGGTCCTCCAGTTGGCCAGGCATGGACTGCATGGTAGCTCTTTTCCAGGATTCTACAGCCTGGAGTAATAAGTCATGCCAAGCTCTCTCTGCTATATCCCGAAGTTCAGCACCTTGCGGGTCGCCCCTGAGGGCCATCCAGCTTCTGTCTCCCAACACTAAGTTCACTTCGTGTCTCTCATGACAGGGAGGAAACTTAGCACTCCTTGGAGACCTGAAGGGATGCAGTGAGCTTAAGAATTTTCCAGAGCTTACCAATAAGTCAACCCTTTGTTCATCCCCAAGTGGATGTGTGGTGGTATCATGGTGGACCTTTACTGGACACTCTGCCGAATAACTGGAGTGGCACTTGTGCTTTAGTCCAATTGGCTATCCCTTTCACCCTGGCATTTCATCAACCAGAGGGAGGGCAGGTAATAAAAGAAGGATGGATCCAGTTATCGGACAGAAGAATAGCCATGCCACAAGTGCTAGGAACCACAGTCGTACTGGCTGTGCATGAGACCACCCGCGTAGGCCAAGAGTCACTTGAAAAGTTGTTAGGCCAGTACTTCTACATCTCGTGTCTGTCAGCCCTTGCCAAAACAGTAGTGCAGCAGTGTGTCATCTCCTGGCAGCACAATGCTGGGCAAGGTCCAACCGTCCTGCCTGGTATACAGGCTTATGGAGCAGCCTCCTTTGAAGATCTCCAAGTAGACTTCACCGAGATACCCAAATGTGGAGATCTCATCCCTAGGTTTGGACTGCCTTTATGAATTGGCTCAGACAACGGGCCAGCGTTTGTCGCTGACTTGGTACAGAAGACAGCAAAGGCGATCGGGTGTAGATCAAGGATTAGAATGCAGCCCCCTTGCAACCACAGTGAAAAGGACCCCAGACTGTCGTCTTGACCACTCCCACAGCCGTGAAAGTAGAAGGAATCCCAGCCTGGATCCACTACAGCCGCATGAAACCCACAGCACCTGAGACCTGGGAGGCGAGACCAAGCCTGGACAATCCCTGCAAAGTGACTCTGAAGAAGACAACAAGCCCTGCTGCAGTCACACCCGGAAGCTGACTGGTCCATGCATGGCCGAAGCATGAGGAAACTCACCATGGGACTTATTTTCCTTATATTTTGGACTTGTACAGTAGGGACTTCAACTGACCTTCCGCAAACTAAGGACTGTTACCAGTGTATACATCAGGTCACTAAGTTAGGTCAAAAAGTTAAAACTGTCTTTTTGTTCTATAGTTATTATAAATGTGCTGGAGCTCTAAAAAGGACTTGTTTGTATAATGCCACCCAGTACAAGGTATGTAGCCCAGGAAGTGACCAGCCTGATGTGTGTTATAACCCATCTGAGCCCCCTATGGTCACAGTTTTAAAAATCAAATTAAGAACAGTCACCTGGTAAGGTCTAAACCATACTAAAAAGAATCCATTTAGTAAGTTTCCTAAGTTGCAAATTGTTTAGGCCCACCCAAAATCTCCCTGGGACTGGGCAGCTCCAGCTGGACTATACTGGATATGCGGGCATAGAGCCTACACTAAGCTACCTGACCAACGGGCAGGTAGTTGTGTCGTTAGGACCGTTAAGCCATCCTTTTTCCTACTGCCCATAAAAACAGGTGAGCTCCTAGGCTTCCCTGTCTACGCTTCCTGAGAAAAGAGCATAGCCATTGGCGACTGGAAAGATGATGAGCGGCCCCCTGAAAGAATCACACAGTACTATAGTCCTGCCACATGGGCACAAAACAGCTCATAGGGATACTGAACCCCCATCTACATGCTCAACCGGATTATATGGTTACAAGCTGTCTTAGAAATAATCACTAATGAAACGGGCAGAGCTTTGACTGTTTTAGCCCATCAAGAAACCCAAATGAGAAATGCCATCTATCAAAATAGATTAGCCTTACACTACTTGCTAGCAGCTGAAGAAGGGGTCTGTGGAAAATTTAACCTAACCAATTGCTGTCTGCATACAGACGACCAAGGGCAAGTAGTTGAAGACATAAAGATATATACAAAGCTGGCACATGTGCCCATGCAGGTGTGGCATGGGTTTGATCCTGAGTCCATGTTTGGAAAATGGTTTCCAGTGCTAGGAGGATTTAAAACTCTTATAATAGGAATTATAATAGTAATAGGAACCTGCTTGTTGCTTCCCTGTGTGCTGCCCTTGCTCCTTCAAGTAATGAAAAGTTTTGTTACTACCTTAGTCCATCAAAATACTTCAGCACAAGTGTACTACATGAATTACTATTGATCTGTCTTACAAGAAAACCTGGATAGTGAGGATGAAGATGAGAACTCCCACTAATAAGTGAGATTCTCAAAGTGGGGAATAAGGAAGGAGACCACCTCTCATATTGTCTTCTGCCTAATTTCTGCCTCAAAGAAAAGAAAAAGTAGGAGTTAAAGAAAAGGCAGAAGTGAAATTCAATAGTCAAACAACCTGGCAGCACATCCCAGGCCTGGTAGTTAAAGATCGACCCCTGACCTAATCGCTTATGTTATCTATAGATTCCAGACATTGTATGAGGAAGCATTGTGTAACTCCCTGTTTGGTTCAGTTCTGTTCTGTTCTGATCACTGGTGCGTGCAGCCCCCATCACATAGCCCCCTCTTGCACAATGTATCACGACCCTTTCACATGGACTCCTTAGAGTTGTAAGCCCTTAAAAGGGACAGGAATCTTGAGTTCAGGGAGCTTGGACCTTGAGACGCAAGTCTACCGATGCTCCCAGCTGACTAAAGCCTCTTCGTAAAACCAGTGTCTGACAGGTTTTGTCTGCGACCAGTGCTGCTACACTTCCACTGGCCTTGGACCATCACTCAGCAGCTGTGTTTTCCTGGGAGACAACAACCTCGACATTTCGAACATGGATTCTTTTTGCTTGGAAATGATGCCTAAGCATAATGGTGCTCACATTCTCAGAAAACAGACACCTATTCTAATCATGCATTTTCTCCTCAGGTCTTCTGAGGAAATGATCTCTTTCCAGACCCTCATTTGCTTTTTCCAATCAAGGATCTTGAGGTAGTGAGTAGGAGGCAGTGGAGAGACCTGAGGAATGAAGATAGAGAAGTTAGTTTACCAACTAAGATTCTTCCTCAAATGCCTAAGATCATCTCCCTGGGGTTTTACAGTTAGGATTTTGAGCACTGAGTCAGAAGAAAAGTGCTGGCAAACAGAGAAGTGGAGTTTAGGGGAAGACCAAGCCATGTTCACGACAAGGCCTGAGTAGAGGAAGAAAGCCAAGACACACCGAGGCAGCAGGTGCAGGCTCAGAAGGCCGCCTCACAGCAGGGAGACCTCCCGCACAATGAAGAGCACAGTCAGGGAAGGAGCAGCTGGCTTACTCACTGAGGGATTAAAATCGATCCCCACGGTCCAGAGACACAGAGAATTGCAGCAAATGGAACTGCTCAAGTGCTTCAATCCCCAAGGGACTGGCACTCTTCAGCTTCCTTACTTCTCCTTTTCTTCTAGAATCCAGTTTGGATGCAAGTTCCTCTTGGTTTCAGTGAAATCCTAGGCCTTTAAGGAAACAGTTTCAGTGAGGGGTCCCTAAGGCTTGCTGACTGTAAAATAAACAAAGCCCAGTGGTGAGGGACTCCTTCTTCCACACTTCTCTAAAATTTCAAGGCCCTTTAAGAACACTAGATTCTTTCATATACAACTTAAAACTCAAAGAAGCACTAACTGTCTTCACTTTTTTTTTTTTTAAGATGGAGTTTCACTCTTGTTGCCTAGGCTGGAGTGCAATGGCGCGATCTCAGCTCACTGAAACCTCTGCCTCCTAGGTTCAAGCAATTCTCCTGCCTCAGCCTCCCAAGTAACTGGGATTACAGGCACCTGCCACCATGCCTGGCTAATTTTTGTATTTTTAGTAGCGACGGGATTTCGCCATGTTAGCCAGGCTGGTCTCAAACTCCTGACCTCAGGTGATCTGCCTGCCTTGGCTTCCCAAAGTGCTAGGATTACAGGTATGAGCCACCTTGCCTGGCCTCCATCTTCAGTTTTACAGATGACAACATTGAGGTGCAGAGAGGTTAAGAAACATTTTTAAGGGTACCGAGGTGATAAATGGCAGAGGCAGGCCTGGAGTCCAGGTGATTCCAGAGCCTGGGCTCATACATCTGCAAGGGTGGATGCCCTGGGCTGGGGCATCGACCTCAGGTCTTGAATAGCCCTGGAGAAGTGAAAGAAAGGGCAACAGAGCCAGCTGCAGAGGGGCTGGAGGAATGGGAAGGGGAAAGCTGCCATAAAGGAGTGTGTTCAACCAGGCAGTGAATGACAGGCACCTTCTGAGACTCTGTCCCCATGCTGAGCACTGAGGAGGGCACGAAGGAACAGAAGCAAGTAGTCCTTCAGCTGTGTGAATGAGGCTGGATGAGGGCAGAGAAAGGGGCAGCCCAGGGGCTGAGCTGGGGGCCCCGCTGTGTGGAGCAGGAGGACTCCCAGGGCCCTGCTCAGGGAGTGGGGACAGCCCCGTGGAGAACACACATCCTGGCTGAGGAGACGCTCCAGGACAGGCAACATGGGGCACAGCATGATCAGTACATCTCACAGGGAACATGCTGCTGTTCACTTTAACAAACACTTTAGACACTGAGGTTAAAGTCACCTGTGCACAAAGGCCGGGCACAGATCTTTCCATGAGTAACACAATGGTGTGCAGAGTAACATCTGGGCTGGTTTTCATTTCATTTTTTTTCTTTTTTTTGAGACAGGGTCAAGCTCTGTCTCAAACAGTGAGGAGCGCAGTGCAGTTGAGTGCACTGGTGCAAACACAGCTCACTGCAGCCTCGACCTCCTGAGCTCAAGCGATCCTCCCACCTCAGCCTCCAGAGTATCTGGGACTACAGGTGTACACCACCATGCCTGGCTAATTTTTTGTATTTCTGTAGAGACGGGGTCTCACTATGTCGTTCAGGCTGCTTGGGTGGTTTCATTTGTACTACAAAAGTAAATATTGAAAAATTTGTGACATAGAAAATAGAAATAAACACCATGAGACTCTGGTGCAACTCACTGGACAATGACACAGAGCTTCTGATTGCAAAGTCTGCCGATTCTTTGTCTTAGGCACTCTGTCACCAAAGCAGCAGCTCAATGGGGCTGCACCAAGGCCCCCATCCCCACTGCACTGCAACCTTGCCCCCTTGCAACTCTCTAGGCTTCCCTTTGCTGTGTGCAAGACTACCTGTCAACCTGTTCCTCCTCACAGGGGCCTTTATACACCCACCGGAGGCCCGGCCTCGCCACTCGGGAAGTGCCCTGGCAGAGAAGATAGCACTTACCCAGTTGACTATGGGTCTGGCTTTCATCCTCCATTGTAGCTAAGTACCTGTCTCTGAAATTAAAACAGTTTGGTGGATTCTCTCCCCAGGTTTTATATTCTTCCAGGATTGGGCACTGTCACTGCACTCTGGAAACCTCTGTGAACCTGGTCTGGTCTTGTCTGCACACAAACAGAAATGGCTAGATGGAACCAAGGCCAACGGAAAGGGTTTGGCCAAGCCCCAAAGAAAATAAAACGATTCGACCCCAAGGAGGCAGACAGTCCTGATTCCGGGCACACGAGGTAAACGCCAAATGGAAATCCAACTGTTGCGGAGAGTGATTGCTCAGATGGGGCAAATGTGCTGTGAAATCAGCCCTTGGAAAATCATCTGGCGTTCATCTTAGTGAAATCCAAAAACAATGACTGCCTCCCCCAGCCTGCTCCAGAGGGAGCCTCAGGAGCTCCCCTCGTCGAAGCCCGGAAAGCCGCGGCAGGAGCGAGGCCCCGGGTCTTCCGACTCAACCCTTGTTTATTTACGAACCTGCCCTGCGTTTCTTTCCCGCTTCAGTTCATCCTTCACCCCCGCTTCCCACCGCCTCCGCCCACCACGGGAGGTCCAGGGCATTCATCATGCCTCTTGCATGACAGGCAGCAGAGACACAAATAAAAATGGGACCGTTAACTCCACGGCTACCAGGCACAGGGATGGGGGCCTAAGCTCACACATTTGGGGGCCTTAGCAAATAAATCCTGATGTGTCCCCCAAAGACTTCCTGCTTCACTGGGGGAAGGTTGGGCAACCTAAGATTTTACTCTCAGACATGGCAACAAAAGTTGCAGTACAGAGAATTAGAAGGGGTTGCTGATACTTCCTAGAAAAGAGACTGAGCCTGAGTTGGGCTTTTCATTTCACAGTGCACATTCGAAACCGCCAGGGAAGCAGCTCTGGTCCCTGGCCCCTGGCCCCTGGGGCCTATTTTTATTCTGGCAAAGTGGCCTGAGTTCATCTACATTCTTAGAGGGGCAGGAGTTCAGCCCAGGGAAAGACCACGTCCCCACCAGCCAGGAGGCTTCTGAGTCTTTCCCGCACCACACTTTCTATAATTGCTCCCACAGACAATGTTGGAGCTCTGAGTAATTGAGGAGTTAGTTGCCATATGATGGGCTGGGTTTTGATATTGCTAAAGATCAAGGGACATGGGAGACTTTTTGGAGGACTGATGGTTTCTGTCCCCAAATCTCACATCTGCCCTTGACACTCTCCTAGAGTCTGAAGCCAACCCACTCTGGGTCTGTGATCTCACTTGGAAAATTCAGATGGTGGGGCTGAAGCGAAGTTGGAGAGAGTGGAGGGAAGGAGCGGGAGGATGTTTGTAAGCTGCTTAGCAGATCAAAGTGACAACGTGTCACATTTTCCAAGCTGGTTTCCAAAGCACTATGTTAACGGATCTTCCAGAAGTCCATCTCTTAACAACCTGAAAGAGGTTTGGTTCTCAATGTTTTCTGCCACAACACACAAGATGACGATGGTCATAAGAGTGGCATACTTCTGTGGACTAGCCCACTCTTGTGCACAATTCCCCACCTACAGCTGCCTCCTACTCTTTTTCTTTCCCACCCAGGAAAGCAAATCGGAATAAAAGTGAGTGTGACAGGCATTATTATGGGGTATCTTAGAATCCACTCTAGTTAAAAAAATCTTAGTGTATGAATCATTCACAGACTTTCATACTTGGCCAGAAGGGACATGACTTTTACATGGGACCATGGTTTTACTGGGACATGGTTTTTCATGGCAGAGAAAGATACCCACAGCTAGCATCGAGCTTGCTGAGGGCTTGTGTTTGATCCCTGGTCAGCAGGGCTGGCTGTCCAAATTTCAGGGTCTGGCATGTGGGTGTGGGAAGAGAGCACATCACCCTGAAGCTGGTGTCCCCGCTAACTTATGTGAGCATCAGCTCTCTTCACCCCTGGTTGTTGTGGGCTGAGAAATCCCACATCTGGCAGGGTTCAGAGTAACTCAGGTATAATTACACTGTCAAGGTGACCAGGCTTAGGATCACAGGGCTCAAAAGAAGGCATGAGACCTGAAAATGGAGCTGCACTGTCAGGCCACACAGAGAGTAGATGAGGCAGAGAAGGGGGCTGGCAGGAAGGGTCTTAGGACTTTGGGAGGAACAAGAGAGGATAGCATGGGGAAATAATGTCTGTGAGAATTCTCAGAAAATGGGGTGGAAGGATTCTCTCAGCCTCTAGAACCTGCTTTCTATGTCCCACAACTTGGGCCTCCAGAAAGCTGGTAACATCTTTCCTTTCCTTCCTGCCTCCAGCAGACAGTGCAGTTGAAAGCTCAAATTTCAGGGCTGCAAATTGAGCAAGGAGGGTAGTGACAGCAGTCCACCACACCACACACCAGCTGCCTTCTTCCCCCGAGGCCACCAAGCCCTGTTCCTCACACCATGGCCAGAGGGCCTTGGACCAACTATTACTTGGGAACGCAGCTGCCCTCATCAACAGGCCCAGGGGTCTTTTAAGTGAGTAAGGTCTTCAGACGTGACTGAATCCAAAATGGGCAAGGGGAGTCAAGGTTTTACTCTTAGTTTCCTTAGCATGCTTTCCACAGGTGTTCCACCGTGGTAAGTGCAACAGACACAGCCCCCCTCACGAGTGGTTCTTCCTCTGGTGGAGGCAGGCAGGAAATAAATACAGAATCATCAAAAATCAGCTCCAAGATGGCAAGAGTTTTTGTCTGTTTCCCCAGAACACAGAATGGTGCTTGGCACATGATAGGCGCTCAGTAAACAAATATGTTAATAACCAAGGGAAAGTGTCGGAGTGCTAGGTGCCATGGCCAGAATGAGAGTGTGCTGGGACACAGATAGGCCAGAGGTTTTGCCCACAAGTTGCAGCTGCAGTGAGAACACGTCTGATGATGTACTGCTCAGCACAGGACGGTTCCACGATGAATGTGTCAGTTTCCTCGGAATACCATAAGAAGCCACAGACTTAAACAGCAGAAACTTACTGTCTCATGGTTCTGGAGGCTAGGAGTCCAAAATCAAGCTGCTGGGGGGTTGTTTCCTTCCGAGGGCTGTGAGGGCAGGATCTCTTCCTGGCCTCTCTCCTTTGCTTGTGGATGTGGCCGTCTTCCTCTCCCTTTGCATCATCTTCTCTCTATGTGTGTCTCCATGTCCAAATTTCTCCCTCTTGTGAGGACGCCAGTCATATTGGATTAGGGCCCATTCTCATTTTAACTCTTCAAAGACCCTGTCTCCAGTTAAGGTCACACTCTGAGGGACTGGGGGTTAGGACTTCAACATACGAATGAAAGGGGGCCCAATTCAACCCATAACAGTAAGGATTAAATACATAGTAGTTATTAATGATGATAATAAAATCAATAACAAGGAAAAAGTAGAAATAAAAACCAAAACAAAGCCATTAATAACAAAGTCAAAACTTTCGCTTTATTAGCACCAAGCAACTCTTCCAGCAGCTCCATGTAGCCTATGGGACAAAGGCCAAGTTCCCTGGACTGGCAGTCAAGGGCTTCCACGGGGAGCCTCCGCCTTGTTTTCCACCTTCCCTCCCTGCCTAGGCAGTGTCTCCCAGTGCTCACTTCATCTCTTCGTGAACATTGCTGGGGCTGTGCTGCCCCTACAAAGCCCTTTTTCCTCTTCTCTGCTTATCCAGCTTCAGCTCATCTCAGGAGCCCAGATGCGGGTGCTGCTCCTGCAGGAAGTACTTCCTAAACATTGTCTGCCAGTCATCATGCAAACAACCTCAAGACAACTCTGAAGAAAAAAGGGGCTGCTTCCAGAGTGGGGAGGCTCAGGGAACCCAGTAGGGAAATGGGGACCAGCAACAGCAGGAAGCCATCAAGCTCCCCTAGTCCTGCCAGAGCTGTAGCTCTGGAGGAACCTGCCAGTGCCAGAATCACAGCAAAACAGGGAGGAAGCAGGGAAAATAAACCCCGGCCTCACTTTTCCTCTGCTCTGTGACCTCCTGCCCACTGCTCCACCAGCAAGGCCACTGGAAGCTGGGGCAAAGGGCCTGTTGCTGCAGCCTGCAGCCATTGCATCCAGGACACATGGCAGGGAAAAGTGGACACAGGGGTGAGTAGGGGGCAGACAGAATAATCAGCACACGTACTGCCTGTGTCAACCTTGCCCTTCTCTGAACCCACACAGTATTGTTTTTTAATCTGGACCACTTGTGTGCCCCGTAGTCCGCCAGGGCCACCTTGGCTAGGAAGCTCACTTCCAAGTGTGTGGCCATCAACTATGGCTGGAGTATGAGGCCGAGAGCAGAGAACACATCAGATGCCTCCTCTGTGCCCTGCCTGCTTCCCCGACCTGCAGTGCTGAGTACAGAGCCAGGCTTGTAGTACGTGCTTAGTAAATCAGAGCTGAACACAAGTGGGGGTTTTGGAGATGAAGCGTGGGTGGGATCCATGCAACTACATATTGAAAAATCACTGGCTCTGGAAGAGCAATTGTCAGGCCCATTTCCTGCTGCAGACGAGCCAGGAGACACTCGGGGCTTGGCAACCTGACAGTGGAGGAGCAGCCAGGGAATTTAGCAGGAGACAGAGAAAATGAGCCCTGCGGGGCTGGCGAAGCCCCATCAAAAGCAGACTCAGGCAGAGTCTCCCTTCCCCGATTCAGGGGCCAACACCGGGGTGGGGTGCCGGCTCTGCTTGCTCAGGTCCTCTGTAAGCCAGAGCGTGCGGGAGTCAGGGAGAACAATGCATCATTTTGGAAGCTGATGCTTCAGTCTGAGGCCAGGCATAGCTTGAGGGCCACAGAAATTGTTGCCTGAGGAGAGCACAGATGTGTCAGTCCTGGCACCTGCCATGCCAGGTCAAAGTTGGCCTTTGGCCTCAGCGGGTTTGGGGCTGGGGATAACCCCTGTATGCACCAGCAGAGGGCACCTTAATTGCAATCTATCCATAGGCTGGCCACTGATGTGTGTGGTGGGCATCGCAGCCTCCACTCCAGCATGGTTTTCACCCCAGAGGACCTGCATAGTCACTTCATTTCCCTTTCCAATTCAGGAGTGAGTGTGTGACCCAATTCTGGCCAAAGAAATTTACAGGGAGTCCAGGTGCAGTGGCTCATGCCTGTATTCCCAACATTTTGGGAGGCCAAGTGGGAGAATTGCTTGAGGCCAGGAGTTCAAGACCAGTCTGGACAACAGAGCAAGATCCCATCTCTATAAAAAATAAAAAAATAAGCCAGGTGTGGTGGTGCATACCTATAGGACTATCTACTGAGGAGACTGAGGGGGGAGGATTGCTTGTGTCCTAGAGTTCAAGGCTGCAGTGTGCTATGATCGCACTACTGCACTCTGGCCTGGGTGATGGAGCAAGACCTTGTCTCTATAAATAAATAAATACTTAAAAAAATGTATAGGGAAGTCTGCTGGGTGCTTTTTGAAAGCAGAATGACAATCCGTCTTCTTCCTCTGAACAATGTGTCTCAATATGATGCCTATGACTGCTGCTACTGCCATCTTGCTACTACCCAGAAGATGAAGCCAAACCTGATGCTCGCAGGACTGAGACGGAGAAAGAATGTCAGTCTTTGATGAGATAATATAGCCTCTAAAACAACCAGCCCTCAAACCACATTATTCCAATATTTCAGTTCTGTGAGACAATCAGTGTTCTAATTGTATATATAATAGGCTAAATATTAAATTATTTATATTAATATAATTATATATTACATATAATTAGATATAATACACTAAGTATAAAATATAATATATAACATATATATATATATATATTTTTTGGTAGAGATGGGGTTTCACCATGTTGCCCAGGCTGATCCACCTGCCTCAGCCTCCCAAAGTTCTAATTCTTTAAGTCCGCATCAGTGGGATTCCCATTACTTGCAGCTAAGAGCATTCTATTCAATGCCACCTGAGAGATCATTAGCTAAGCCAGGTAGACTAACTCCCTCCAGGACCTGTTGAGGACAGGCAGCCCACAAGCAGCTGAGGAGATAACTTTAACAGTTACACAAACATGTATTTTAATAGCTATGTGATTGTTTTAACAACTTTTAATTTTTAAATATAAGCAGGATGTCAAACCTATGATACAATATTTCCTTCTGAAATCTGTTATTTAAGTAAAAGCATGAATTATTTGTAAAGGAGAATATTAAGTACACTACAGTACTGATGGGGGTCAGGACACACTACACGAAAGTACGGCACCTTGGTATTTGAGGAAACAGCAGAAGCAGGAAAGTCACCGTCAGACTTTCTCCCATCTCTCTCCCTTGAAGAAGGTCATAAGACCACCGTTTGAAAGATGCCTTCCCTATATCCAGAGGAAATGAATGTCCTTATCTCTGAAGACACTGGGACACAGAGAATATGAGCAAATGGGCCTTGCCAAGTCCCCCTTCCCTGTTGATTCCCATTAGATCAAAACTTTTTGTCCTCCAGTCATACTTCTTCATGACCGGATATCCACACTTCATCAAACCTAAGCATAAAAATACACAGGTTTCCCTGTTTCTTTGGCTCTTTATTTCTGAAAGCTCCTGTGTCACATAAAATTTACATTGAATACATTTGTCTGCTTTTCTCTTGTTAATCTGTCGTTTGTTATAGGGGCTTTGGCCATGAACCTAGTGATGGGTGTAAAAGAAATATCATCTCCCCTGTAGTATAAATTATATGAAGTGAAATAATGGAATGTGACTGTCTGAAATGCTGGCCAAGTGGATCAAGGCTACTGTGGGGTTGACTGGCCAGTAAGGAGGCAGAGGAGCAGAAGCACCAAGAGCAAAGGACTTTCAATTCAGCAACTATGAATTGAGCATCTTTTATGTGCCCAGCCTGGGCCAAGTACTAGGGTTGCTGCAAAGAAGACGGTGACTCGTCTAGCGGCCCTGATGCTTCCATCTAACCAGGAAGATGGACATTAACCAAATGACTTCACAACACATTATTTAAATACAGAGGTGGTAAATCCATGTGGAAAACAGAGGGGTGTTAGGAGTGCATATAACAGAAACACCTGACTTCAACCAGAGGGAATGGAAAGGCTGTGGAGACAGAAGTGGAAAGCTGTCTGGGGCTGCCCCACATTGGCCTTGCTCAGCTCCAGGCCATCAACATCCTTAAACAGGCTTTTGCTCTGGGAAGCCAAGTAATTTTGTCCTCCCACCAGAAAACTGGCATGTTGAAGTCCTAACCCCCAGTCCCTCAGAATGTGACCTTAAGTGGAGATAGGGTCTTTAAAGAGGCAATTACGGTTAAATGAGGTCACGAGGGTGGAGCCTAATCCAACAGGAGTGTGTCCTTTTAAAAGAGGAAGACATAGACATATGCAGATGGAGGACCACATGCATTTGCAGAGAAGACAGTCTTCTGCAAGCTGAGGAGAGAGGCCTCAGAAGGAATCAACCCTGCAGACAACTTGATCTTGGCCTTCCAGTCTCCAGAACTGTGAGACAATCCATATTTGAGCCATCCAGTCTGTGGGACTTTGTTAAGACAGCCCTAGCAAACGAATATAGCAGCCTAAGTGAGGAGTTTTTGTCCTTTGCAATCGAAAGAGCCCTACTAATACTGGGAGCAAACAGGCTCCATTTTGGGAAGGGAGGATCCTGGCTGGGCCTGAAGATGTCACTGGGGCTGTCTGGGCACAGGACAGCTCCCTTTGTGTCTGTTCAGCCTCATTGTTCTTCCCATCCCCCCACACGGGGAGATTTGCAGCAGACACCCGCTTCCCTGCTGCATGGGGAGCAAGCTGGTAAGGAGAAACCCCCGCCCTGCGTGGTTATGGGCTCCCTGATGTTCTAACTGTGGATCAGTTATAACAGTCCTGCAGGGAGGAGGGGGTTTACTGCCAGGAAGAAAAACCCCAGGAACCCAGCCTTTCTGCTTCTCGGGACAGTGGGGGCCGTGGGGTGGAGTGAGATTCTCCAGCCATGACTCATGCTAGGTTTCATGAGTAAGGGAAGTTAAGAGAGTCATAATGACTGTACTGAAAAGCAGTTAAGTCCATCTTCACAGCAGCATTACACGGAATTAAAAACTGCACAATTTGATCCTATTTGCAACCACAGCTGCCATAAACTAACATATAAGCAAACTGAGCAGAGTGAACTCAGTGCCCCTGATTCAGGCTACGCATATGGGCCTGTATCCACAGTGCTTTGAGCTTCAGCAGAAAAGACCTCACCCTTCCATTCCGTTCCTATTCCTCCGAACCACTGAAATCACATGGGTGTCTGCCCTTTGGGTGGGGACACCATCAGAGCTGGCCTCTGCCAGGGGAAGAAGAATAGGGGCCTCACTGGCCAGGCCTCAGAGATTCTGAGAATGAGACTCACTGTTGTACCGGTAAGAAGAAAACCCGCAGGCTGCTGGAAAGGTGAATTATTTGTAGCCATGGCTAGAGCTGACTTCCCATTCCCACACTTCCAGCAGAAGAAAGACTTGGACAGACAGCACTGAAAAAATCCTGGAGAAGTGGCGGGCCCAACAGGGAGAAATGCAGGCTCTTTCACAGAGGACAGGAGATTGACAGGTGCTAAGTAGGGTGTGTGAGGCCCGCCAGGGGCTTGTGCCGCACACCCATAGTCAGAAGTGGAGGGAACCTCTTCCTCTCCATTAGCCAATGCTCTGGACACTGGGTATCGAGTACTTTCAATCCAGCTAGTTGGCACCATTGCTTCCATATGTGTGCTGGAATTTATTGAGTACCAAGTGTTTACAAAGTGCAATATTACCCACAGAAGAAAGCTTCAAAAACAGGAGCAGACTACTTTCGGTGGCTCTGCCTTTGACCTTTGTGCAGATCAGCAGCGGCAACTGACCTCCCTACGCCCTTTTTCAGTGGAGTAAACAAGAGGCAGGGATGGTCACAGAAAAGGGAGTTAGTCATCCAACCCCTTTAGTTGTCCCTGAGCCCACCCAAGCCCTATTTGCTTTGTGCTAACCTGGCCTCCAAAGGCAACAACCAATATTTGCTGTGTGCCTTGCCAGGGAGACATACAAAGCAGCCCATGTTGGAGTGCGAGCCAGCAGGATTTTTTTCAACCTAACTGGAGGAGACATGTGCACGTGAACTATTACCAACAGCACAGGCATTGTGGATAAGAGCCAGGTGAGGGACCTAGACTTCTGAGAACCAGGGAGAAGCCATTTGCTCTCCTACTTCCTCAAGTCACCCTTTGATGACACCCGTCCATGCCTCCCCATGAGGCCAAAAGGAGAAAACAGAGCACAATGAAAGAGACCATATTCTCTCAGCAGTCTCTACTCTCATACCTCTACCACCCTGTCCCAGAGTGGGAGGGAAACCTTGAACTGCTAAAGGAGCTCACTTCCCTTCCCTAAACAAGTCTTAACAATGAAAACCAAAACTATTTCTTGAGGGCCTACTCTGTGTCCTGCACTGTTTGGTTATTCTTTCCAATCTTCATAATAATTCTGCAATACAAGTGGTATTTCCCCATTTCACAAGTGTGAAAATACAGACAATGAAATTGTTAAGTCACTGCCAGGCAGGATGTAATGCAGGAGAGTCTGATGACAAAAGTTTCCTCCCCAGCCTGCCTTGAAATTGCTCAATGTTTCCATAATCAGTGATTACAACTCATTCGATTTCAGGAATAATAAATTTAGAGTGTGTCTGAAAAGGAGTTGAGCAGCTATAAATAAATACTTGTGTACATTCTCTTGAGCGAGATCCAGGAAATGGTCAGGAGCCACAGTTCTTCTACCTGGAATCCATTTTTCATTCAGGACACAAATCGGCAGCCTGCTGATCTCTGTGCATCACAATGCAAGGAGAGTGAGGCTGTCAGCACTGTTTCCTTGAATCCTGCTGTGCAGTGGCAATTTATTCTAGGAAGCACGCTGCAGAGCATGACCAAAAATAGAAATGCAGGTTTTGCATATTTCATTTCCTAATGCTAGTAGCACTATGACACTTTTGATAGAAGGCTGGGATGGCTGCTATGATGTATCAAACTTTATTGACACTTGATGTGTCCCAAGTTGGCTTGAAATGCCAGGTACCTCAAAGGGGACAGTTTCCTTGAGAAAAGCACTTGCTTGAGAGTCTAATATTTGAAGCACATTAGCCTCACCTGATGCATTAAGTTTCTAAACCTAAATAGGCACCAGGACTAATGTGCTCTTTAAGGCTTGGGCTGTGGTCAAGCATGTGTTTTGACTTCATGTTTTGAAACCATGAGGATAGCAAATTAAGGAGACAAAAGATTCATACAGGTCAATTCCTGACTCGGATGGTTTGGGCTGTCCATCCTGGAGACCAAGGCCCAGTTCTGACAACGGTTACATGCTGGAGGCTGACAAAGCTGAGCTACAGAGCATGCAGAGATCTTGGAGGCAGCACCCCGTCCATGCCAAGGACACACAGAAAACCAAGACTATTTGTTTCTTCTTCCTCAATTTGTTCCCACTCCGTCCCTGCTGGTGTCTGACTTGCGACCATTAGGTATGCATCCCTTTGAGTTAATGCAGACCATCACAGGTCAGCAGCTGAATAAAGGTAGTAGATTTTTCATAAACCAATTATATTCCATTTTAAAAACTGTATTTGAAATCCTTTCCCACTATTTTATTATTGTTAAAATATGCTTTCTTTTAGAAAGCATGGGTAATATTAGGTGGGAATGCATTTTCTTTTTAATGTTCTCACTTAGCAAAATAAAAAGGTATCACTTTGTCAGAGGTTACCAAAACTGGGGGGAATTCTACTGGTCTAGGAACCTCTGCATTAAGACATCATTCCCAGAAAGCTTGCATTTTAGGATGCAGACCCTGCATGGTAAGCCTGGGACAGCCCAGTGAGAATGAGCTCACAGGTTCCTTTTTCACTGAAAAATGGGAGCCCAGGTTCAGTGAGCACAGGGAGAACCCACCCACTGAAATCCCCTGGAGGTGGGAGTGGGGGCGAGGGGCACTGGGCAAAGACACACTGTGATTATTTTGATCATTTTGCTAAGGCTCCTCCTGTCTTCCTCTTCCCCAAACAAAGGGGAAAAAAAACATGAAAATAAATCCCCCAAGGAAAGAGAAAGGGAACTGGACAGGTTATGGTTTGAAAGTTTTATTATGGGTGATTTACCATCCCTCAAAAAAGATGGGTTATTATCAGGGCATCTCTTATCAGGGTTTTCTCTCTCTCCAAAATCCTGAACAAGAGGAAATTGCCTCAAAATGAAGCAAGAATGGGTCTAGATAGTATTTGCTGTTCCTCTACCTTCTCTATCTTTCGAGGCTCAAATTAATCTTCATTCTGACACAGTTCCCGGCTCCCACAGGCAGGCCCAGTGGTTCCTTCCTTGATGCACCCACAGTACTTTATCCATACCTCTAGTGTTGTCCTTCTCATTAGGTATTTCTAAATACTCTATTTTCTTCTGATTACAAAACACAAAAGTTAAAAAGCAGACCCTTTGAAATAACAATAACACTATGTGCCTGGCCCTCTTCTAAGCAGATCACAGTTATTACCCTGTTAATTCTCTCCATAACCCAGTGTCTCAGCAACCCAAGTGTCTCCCTAAATTTATAGCTGGAATCTTTCTACCTCTGATGCCTGACACAGTGTTGGCCTCAGTCAATACCTAATAAATAATTTTGAGTTTACAAGAAAGACAAGAGTTTGATTTGGATATTTCACATGTTGCCAAATTTAGGAAAATGGGTCTGTTCAGGTGACATTTGGGAGCTTTCTCTAGCTTAAAGAGCTAGTATTGTGGGCACCTTTTATTAGTCCGTTTTCACACTGCTATAAAGAAATACCCAAGACTGGGAAATTTACAAAGAAAAGAGGTTTAATTGACACAATTCTGCATGGCTTTGGGAGGCCTCAGGAAACTTACAATCATGGCATAAGGGGAAGCAGGCACATCTTACATGGCAGCAGGTGAGAGAGAGAGAGAGACAAGAGAGAGAGAGGAACTGTCAAACACTTTAAACCATCACATCTCATGGGAACTCACTCACTATCATAAGAACAGCATGGAGGAACCACCCCCATGATCCAATCACCTCCCACCAGATCCCTCCCCCGATACGTGGGGATTACAATTCGAGATGATATTTGGGTGGGGACACAGAGCCATACCATATCACACCTGTAATTTACTTGCACACTTTCTTGTCTTATTGGGTGTTTGTATACATATGTGTGTCAATACACTCATAATTTACCAATTTATTAATCATTGGCTGCTATGGGTAATTCTGAAAGTGGGTGGGTGTGTACAAAATTAGCTATATGTGTGTGTGTGTGTCCCAGAAGGATTGGCAAATTAGTAATTTATGTCTCTGTCAACATTTCTATTCTGAAACTAAAATATTTACTTACTTAACTAACTTTTGGCTTTACTAACAGCTGTTAGCACAACAAACTGGTGCTTGATGATGTAGGAAAAATAATAAAGCATGTGGTAATTCAACTGCTTTTTAAAAAACACATCTTTGCTGGGAAGGCAAATTGGAGCTGGAGGACATCCAGAGAAATGCAACATATGGTCAAGAAAATGGAATGGCTTCTATACAGGCAAAAAAATGTCTTTTTTTTTTTTTCCGGGAAAGATAAAAAAAGTTAAAGGGAAAAAAGCTATAAAGTTATAAAATTGTGAAAGACACAAAGAAGATAAACATGGAGAGTTGGTTTCAAATTCCAAAATAATGAAATTACTTGTCCTTTCTACCTTGGATGTCAGGTAAATTTAGATAAGTAAAATGAAATATTACTTTTTACATATTGGGTAGGAGGTTAAAAAGAAGTACTACTCCATACACAGTGATAACTGGGAGTTGATGATTGGTTTAGGAATGGGTGGATGAAGGAATCATAAGAAATTATAAGAGAAAAATAGGATGTTGGGGGAGGGTGATAGCTTCCTAAACTGATGATGCTGACATTGTGGCAGACAGCTATGCCTCTACCAATCATGCCTGAAACAAAAGACTATGTTGATGGACTATGAGTCAATAGATAAATATTTGTTTAAACTTACATTTCTATATTTCCTATTGTGTCTGTATAGTTTGATTTACATTAGTATGAGGAGTTTGATTTTCATTAGTATGTATAAATTATTTCCCTCTGACCAGTTTCATAGGGTCATTATTTTATAAAAACAATTGGCTTCCAATAAATGGTCTTATTTTGGCCAGGCATGGTAGCTCACGCCTGTAATCCCAGCACTTTGGGAGGCCAAGGCGGGAGGATCACCTGAGGTCAGGAGTTTGAGACTAGCCTGGCCAACATGGTGAAACCCCCATCTCCACTAAAAATATAAAAATTGGCCAGGCAAGGTGGCAGGTGCCTGTAGTCCCAGCTACTTGGGAGGTGGAGGCAGGAGAATTGCTTGAACCCAGGAGACAGAGGTTGCAGTGAACCGACATCGCTCCACTGCACTCCAGGCTGGGTGACAGAGTAGGACTCTATCTCAAAAAAAAAAAAAAAAAAAAAAGGGCGGGAGTTCCAAGATGGCCTAATAGGAACAGTTCCAGTCTACAGCTCCCAACGTGAGCAACGCAGAAGATGGGTGACTTCTGCATTTCCAACTGAGGTACCGGGTTCATCTCACTGGGGCTTTTCAGACAGTGGGTGCAGCCCACGGAGCGTGAGCCAAAGCAGGGCGGAGCATCGCCTCACCCGGGAAGTGCAAGGGGTCGGGATATTCCCTTTCCTAGCCAAGGGAAGCCGTGACAGATGGTACCTGGAAAATCGGGACACTCCCACCCTAGTACTGCGCTTTTCCAATTGTCTTAGCAAACAGCACACCAGGAGATTATATCCTGTGCCTGGCTCGGAGGGTTCCATGCCCATGGAGCCTCGCTCATTGCTAGCACAGCAGTCTGAGATTGAACTGCAAGGTGACAGTGAGGCTGGGGGAGGGGCGTCCACCATTGCTGAGGCCTGAGTAGGTAAACAAAGCAGTCAGGAAGCTCGAACTGGATGGACCCCACTGCAGCTCAAGGAGGCCTGCCTGCCTCTGTAGACTCCACCTCTGGGGACAGGGCATAGCTGAAGAAAAGGCAGCAGAAACTTCTGCAGACTTAAACCTCACTATCTGACAGCTTTGAAGAGAGTAGTGGTTCTCTCAGCATGGAGTTTGAGATCTGAGAACGGATAGACTGCCTCCTCAATTGGGTCCCTGATCCCCAAGTAGCCTAACTGGGAGGCACCTCCCACTAGGGGCTGACTGACACCACATACAGCCAGGTGCCCCTCTGAGACGAAGCTTCCAGAGCAACGATTAGGCAGCAACATTTGCCATTCTGCAATATTTGCTGTTCTGCAGCCTCCGCTGGTGATACCCAGGCAAAAAGGGTCTGGAGTGGACCTCCAGCAAACTCCAACAGACATGCAGCTGAGGGTCCTGACTGTTAGAAGGAAAACTAACAAACAGAAAGGACATCCACACCAAAAGCCCATCTATATGTCACCATCCTCAAAGACCAAAGGTAGATAAAACCACAAAGGTGGGGAGAAACCAGAGCAGAAAAGCTGAAAATTCTAAAAATCAGAGTGCCTCTTCTCCTCCAAAAGAACGCAGCTCCTTGCCAGCAACAGAACAAAGCTGGATGGAGAAAGGCTTTGATGAGTTGAGAGAAGAAGGCTTCAGATGATCGGTAATAACAAACTACTCCGAGCTAAAGGAGGATGTTCGAACCCATCGCAAAGAAGCTAAAAACTTGAAAAAAGATTAGATGAAAGGCTAACTAGAATAAACAGCATAGGAAGACCTTAAATGACCTGATGGTGCTGAAAACCATGGCACGAGAACTACGTGATGCATGCACAAGCTTCAGTAGCTGATTCGATCAAGGGGAAGAAAGGGTATCAGTGACGGAAGATCAAATGAATGAAATGAAGTGAGAAGAGAAGTTTAGAGAAAAAAGAGTAAAAAGAAATGAACAAAGCCTCCAAGAAATATGGGAGTATGCGAAAAGACCAAATCTACATCTGATTGGTGTACTTGAAAGTGACAGGGAGAATGGAACCAAGTTGGAAATCACTCTGCAGGATATTATTCAGGAGAACTCCCCCAACCTAGCAAGGAAGGCCAACATTCAAATTCAGGAAACACAGAGAATACCACAAAGATACTCCTTGAGAATAGCAACTCCAAGACACATAATTGTCAGATTCACCAAAGTTGAAATGAAGGAAAAAATGTTAAGGGCAGCCAGAGAGAAAGGTCGGGTTACCCACAAAGGGAAGCCCATCAGACTAACAGCTGATCTCTCAGCAGAAACTCTACAAGCCAGAAGAGAGTGGGGGCCAATATTCAACATTCTTAAAGAAAAGAATTTTCAACCCAGAATTTAGTATCCAGCCAAACTAAGCTTCATAAGTGAAGGAGAAATAAAATACTTTACAGACAAGCAAATGCTGAGAGATTTTGTCACCACCAGGCCTGCCTTATAAGAGCTCCTGAAGTAAGCACTAAACATGGAAAGGAACAACCGGTACCAGCCATTGCAAAAACATGCCAAATTGCAAAGACCATCGATGCTAGGAAGAAACTGCATCAACTAACGAGCAAAATAACCAGCTAACATCATAACGACAGGATCAAATTCACACATAACAATATTAACCTTAAATGTAAGTGGGCTAAATGCTCCGATTAAAATACACAGACTGGCAAATCGGATAAAGAGTTAAGACTCATCAGTGTGCTATATTCAGGAGACCCATCTCATGTGCAGAGACACACATAGGCTCAAAATAAAGGGATGGAGGAAGATCTACCAAGCAAATGGAAAACCAAAAAAAAGCTGGGGTTGGAATCCTAGTCTCTGATAAAACAGACTTTAAACCAACAAAGACCAAAAGAGACAAAGAAGGCCATTACATAATGGTAAAGGGATCAATTCAACAAGAAGAGCTAACTATCCTAAATATATATGCACCATACAGGAGCACCCAGATGCATAAAGCAAGTCCTTAGAGACCTACAAAGAGACTTAGACTCCCACACAATAATAATGGGAGACTTTAACATCCCACTGTCAACATTAGACAGATCCATGAGACAGAAAGTTAACAAGGATATCCAGGAATTGAACTCAGCTCTGCACCAAGTGGACCTAATAGACATCTACAGAACTCTCCACCCCAAATCAACAGAATATACATTCTTCTCAGCACCACAGTGCACTTATTCCAGGATTGACCACATAGTTGGAAGTAACGTATTCTTCAGCAAATGTAGAAGAACAGAAATTATAACAAACTGTCTCTCAGACCACAGTGCAATCAAACTAGAACTCAGGATTAAGAAACTCACTCAAAACCCCTCAAATACATGGAAACTGAACAACCTGCTCCTGAATGACTACTGGGTACATAATGAAATGGAGGCAGAAATAGAGATGTTCTTTGAAACCAATGAGAACAAAGACACAACATAACAGAATCTCTGGGACACATTCAAAGCAGTGTGTAGAGGGAAATTTATAGCACTAAATGCCCACAAGAGAAAGCAGGAAAGATCTAAAATTGACACCCTAACATCACAATTAAAAGAGCTAGAAAAGCAAGAGTAAACACATTCAAAAGCTAGCCGAAGGCAAGAAATAACTAAGATCAGAGCAGAACTGAAGGAGATAGAGACACAAAAAACCCTTCAACAAATCAATGAATCCAGGAGCTGGTTTTTTGAAAAGATCAACAAAATTGATAGACCACTAGCAAGACTAATAAAGAAGAGAGAAGAATCAAATAGATGCAATAAAAAATGATAAAGGGGATATCACCACCGATCCCACAGAAATACAAACTACCATCAGAGAATACTATAAACACCTCTACAAAAATAAACTAGAAAATCTAGAAGAAATGGATAAATTCCTTGACACATACACCCTCCCAACACTAAACCAGGAAGAAGTTGGATCCCTGAATAGATCAATAACAGGCTCTGAAATTGAGGTAATAATTAAGAGCCTACCAACCAAAAAAAGTCCAGGACCAGATGCATTCACAGCCAAATTCTACCAGAGGTACAAGGAGGAGCTGGTACCATTCCTTCTGAAACTATTCCAATCAATAGAAAAAGAGGGAATCCTCCCTAACTCATTTTATGAGGCTAGCATCATCCTGATAACAAAGCCTGGCAGAGACACAACAACAAAAGAGAATTTTAGACCAATATCCCTGATGAACATCAATGTAAACATCCTCAATAAAATACTGGCAAACTGAATCCAGCAGCACATCAAAAAGCTTATCCACCATGATCAAGTGGGCTTCATCCCTGGGATGCAAGGCTGGTTCAACATATACAAATCAATAATCATAATCCATCAAATAAACAGAACCAAAGACAAAAACCACATGATTATCTCAATAGATGCAGAAAAGGCTTCCGACAAAATTCAACACCCCTTCATGCTAAAAACTCTCAATAAACTAGGTATTGATGGGATGTATCTCAAAATAATAAGAGCTATTTATGACAAACCCACAGTCAATATCATACTGAATGGGCAAAAACTGGAAGCATTCCCTTTGAAAACTGGCAAAAGACAGGGATGCCCTCTCTCACCACTCTTATTCAACATAGTGTTGGAAGTTCTGGCCAGGGCAATCAGGCAAGAGAAGAAATAAAGGGTATTCAATTAGGAAAAGAGGAAGTCAAATAGTCTCTGTTTGCACATGACATGATTGTATATTTAGAAAACCTCATCATCTCAGCCCAAAACCTCCTTAAACTGATAAGCGACTTCAGCAAAGTCTCAGGATACAAAATCAATGTGCAAAAATCACAAGCATTCTTATACACCAAAAACAGACAGAGAGCCAAATCATGAGTGAACTCCCATTCACAATTGCTTCAAAGAGAATAAAATACTTAGGAATCCAACTTACAAGGGATGTGAAGGACCTCTTCAAGGAGAACTACAAACCACTGCTCAACGAAATAAAAGAGGACACAAACAAATGGAAGAACATTCCATGCTCATGGGTAGGAAGAATCAATATTGTGAAAATGGCCATACTGCCCAAGGTAATGTATAGATTCAATGCCATCCCCATCAATGCCATCTGTGACTTTCTTCACAGAATTGGAAAAAACTACTTTAAGGTTCATATGGAACCAAAAAAGAGCCCACATTGCCAAGACAATCCTAAGCCAAAAGAACAAAGCTGGAGGCATCACACTACCTGACTTCAAACTATACTACGAGGCTACAGTAACCAAAACAGCACGTTACTGGTACCAAAACAGATATAGATGAATGGAACAGAACAGAGCCCTCAGAAATAATACCACACATCTACAACCATCTGATCTTTGACAAACCTGAGAAAAACAAGAAATGGGGAAAGGATACCCTATTTAATAAATGGTGCTAGGAAAACTGGCTAGCCACATGTAGAAAGCTGAAACTGGATCCATTCCTTACACCTTATACTAAAATTAATTCAAGATGGATTAAAGACTTGAATGTTAGACCTAAAACCATAAAAACCATAGAAGAAAACCTAGGCAATACCATTCAGGACATAGGCATGGGCAAGGACTTCATGACTAAAACACCAAAAGCAATGGCAACCAAAGCCAAAATTGACAAATGGGATCTAATGAAACTAAAGAGCTTCTGCACAGCAAAAGAAACTACCATCAGAGTGAACAGGCAACCTACAGAATGGGAGAAAATTTTTACAATCTACCCATCTGACAAAGGGCTAATATCCAGAATCTACAAAGAACTTAAACAAATTTACAAGAAAAAATCAAACAACCCCATCAAAAAGTGGGCAAAGGATATGAACAGACACTTCTCAAAAGAAGACATTTATGCAGCCAACAGACATGAAAAAATGCTCATCATCACTGGCCATCAGAGAAATGCAAATCAAAACCACCATGAGATACCATCTCACACCAGTTAGAATGGCGATCATTAAAAAGTCAGGAAACAACAGGTGCTGGAGAGGATGTGGAGAAATAGGAACACTTTTACACTGTTGGTGGGACTGTAAACTAGTTCAACCATTGTGGAAGGCAGTGTGGCGATTCCTCAAGGATCTAGAACTAGAAATACCATTTGACCCAGCCATCCCATTACTGGGTATATACCCAAAGGAATATAAATCATGCTGATATAAAGACACATGCACACATATGTTTATTGAGGCACTATTCACAATAGCAAAGACTTGGAACCAACCCAAATGTCCATCAGTGATATACTGGATTAAGAAAATGTGGCACATATACACCATGGAATACTATGCAGCCATAAAAAAGGATGAGTTCATGTCCTTTGTAGGGACATGGATGAAGCTGGAAACCATCATTCTGAGCAAACTATTGCAAGGACAGAAAACCAAACACCGCATGTTCTCACTCATACGTGAGAGGTGAACAATGACAACACTTGGACACAGGATGGGGAACAGCACACACTGGGGCCTGTCTTTGGGTGGGGGGTGGGGGGAGGGATAGCATTAGGAGATATACCTAATGTAAATGATGAGTTAATGGGTGCAGCACACCAACATGGCACATGTATACATATGTAACAAACCTGCACATTGTGCACATGTACTCTAGAACTTAAAGTATAATAAATAAATAAATAAAAGGTCTTATTTTAAGTGATGAATGATGCCTCCTAACAGAACAACCAGCAGAACACTAATTAATGCATAGGCTTCTTGGCTGGTCTCTCTTATAAACATTAGCCCAAGTTCTGCTTTCAGCCACCACACATCTCTCTCTCCTGTGGTTCCAAATCATGTAAGTGATCCTTCTGCTAATAAACTCTCTTTGGCCTTGGGCTGGGCACACTGAGTCCTGGCACCCACTCCCTGGATGTCCCCATAGGGACATGTTCTATATGCAAAAATGGTGACGATGAAAAAGGGCTGGGACTTCATGGATTTTGGTTTGGTGAGCTGTTACCACTCCTCTGGCTTCTCCTGACAGAGCCTTCACTTAGCAGATCATCACATTTCACCCTTCAGAGCATGAGACTTGTACTAATGCTGCAGCACTACCCAGCAGGGAGCCAGCTTTCCCATGGTCACTGGATGTGTGTGGTGTTCCACAGAGCCAGGGCTGCGCCAAGATCTTCAGCTCCAAGTAAAATCTTGGAGACCTTTGCCTTAAATGGTAATTACTCTGGCAAAGGTCCTTTATACCTTGCTCTAAATGTTATCCCACCCAAAGTAGAAAATGACTTGTGGAAAGTCTTTCTTGTTTTAAAAAATAGCTATAGCTATAGTAAGGGCATAGCAGCTTTAGAAATGGAACACGTATATTTTTTATAGGCCATTATGAAATAAACTTGCAGTAACTAATTCTTTCTCACACCCATTTGCCTCTTTCAGAGACCCTGCAGGATTTAACATCCCAAACCAAATATACTGTTATGTGTTCCCAAACTATTTTTTCTCAGGGCTAAAGGGAAATTCCCATGAAGTGCTATTTTTCCAGAATGTAGCCCCCTGTCAATGCCAAAGAGAATACTTTAAAAATGATATTTCTCAATATTAGGGCACATTATGGATACAAAATCTTAGCCCAAATCCCCTTGGTCATATAAAACATGTCACATAATTGTATTTTCGGTTAGGAAGGAGTGTTACAAAATAAATATTTCCCCATTAGAACATACTGGGAAATGTTTGCTGACACCTACACTCAAACCCAGCAGGTTCCCTTGGAAGAGTTTGGCAAAGAACAGGCCCCTCCTTAATGAGGTGCTGGAGTTGGTTGAAAATTCAATATTAATTTACAAAAAATGGTTGCATTTAAGAAGTCAAAACTGAGGCCTGCTTGTGGGCGTCTGTGCCTTCTGCATTCTGGGTCTGTGAAATATCCTGGGTCAACCGAGGATCACTGTCCTTGATTGGATTGCATCAGTCTTTCTCTTTCTAAAGCAGTCTGTGGAAAACATCAAGAAGGGTTTTGTTTTGTTTTCTCAGAATTTTTTTTCCTTTCTCTATTTCTCCTACTGGAAAATTCTTACCACAATTGTTGATGGTTGTTTCATTTGATTTTAAGAGATGCATGGCCGCAAGGGCCGTGGGAGTACAAATCAATAGCTGTGATCACTGCTGGATCCTCTTGGAGGGTTTTCCCCTTTTTTGCCTGTAGCACACAATCTACATAGTCCTTGAGGGGAGCCTTACCTGGCCTGGTTCGGGCTTTTCTCTAGCTGCCAGATTGAAGTGTGACAACCACAGAGGTGGCTGTGGGGCTTTTGCTCCTCTCCTCTTGTCCCCAGAAGATTTAGAGTCCGCATTCTCAGCTACTCGGGTGCTCTCAGTTCCAGATCCAGTCATTTCCCCTCTAGCTCCCCTGTTCTTAACAGAGTCCCTCTCCATACTCACTCACTCACTGACTCACTTAATTCACACAATACTTTGTCTAGATCTGTGACCTTAATTTGTAAGTGCAGTGATGGTTGCACATTAGTTATTATGCTGGTCCTTCCAACACAAACTGCATACATTTTCATCCTCTAAGGTCCTAGAACTATTTTTCTGCACTCTAATGCTGGAATTTCAAGACACCAAAACAAAACAGGTGGGATTTAGAGGCAGGCTGGCCTTGGAGGTGGTCTTTCAATCACAATCCGCTCTGACTGCTCTATTCAGATCTTGGGAATGAAGTTTCGACAACATCTGGGACTGAAGTCAGTTTACATATTTTGATACCATGTCAATCCAAAAGGAATTCTTTTGGAGGTGTTTGGGTTTGAGGTACTTGAGCAAATGATTCTAAAGTATATTTAAGAGAACAGATATGTGAGAATAGCCAAGAAAATTTTTAAAAAGAGAATAAGGGCAGGGTCCATGCTTGATTAGCTATGAAAACACAGGAGTTCCCCTCCTGCTTACTATAAAGAAAGCTTAAAATAGTGTCTCTCCCACCCTAACAACAACAATAAAGTCAGATGACCAAAAACCCATACCTTTTCTTGAGTCCACCAGAAAGCTGAGATCACACGGAACCCAAAAGCCTGAAATCTAAGGAAAGGCTGCGTCCCCAAGAAGAGATGTGGCTGAGTATGGGAAGAAACACTGGGTGCCATACAAAAACATAAAAAGAATTCATCTAAAGCTTTTAACAAATTACTAAAGGCCAGAAGCAGACTAGCATGAGTGTAGCACCCCTGGGGGCTGCAGACACAAGAGGAATTGGTGCCCACTTGCAGGCTCTTCTCCACTCCCTTCCACCTACTGATTGAGAAAGGACTGAAGGCAGGGTGGGAGAGCAAAGAAGCCTCCCTGCACAGTGCAGGCCCAGGAAAGAGGGGCAACATTGCTGAAGGAAAGGCATAAGGCTACAGCCACACCCTCCTCCCACCTAAGCCACTGGGGAGGGACAGTACAGCCTGTTGCAGTCAGGGCACAGGTGAAGACCTACTGCAGCTTGGGGAAGGGGAAAGCCAAAACACCCTTGATCCCTGGGGAACGGGCAAGAAACAGTCCTGAGCCCCAGATCCAGACATTCTCTCCTGCACATGACACAAGGCAGGGTTCAGCTGCCACAGGAGGAGGAGGAGGAGGGGCAGGATTTCTGAGAAAGCCTTACTCCTAAGATCCAGGCATACAGGGCCTGCCAAAGCCTGAGAGTGTACTAGGATCAAGCGCACCCCTGACTCCCCAGCACTAAGTAACAAGCAACAACATTCTACCCCAAGGCTGAAGACTTCTCATTAAATATTAAAACTTCTGAAATCTTGAAATTGTTTAATTAATTGAGTAATTTAGCCCTAGCATAGATTAAGGAGACATTAAGAAAAGTTCAGAAATACAGAGTTCACAAATTCAAACATACTTAAGAATTTAGTAACTCTGAAGAAAATGTTAGCTAGTACCTCGTACCTTAAAACAAAATTAGTTCTATATGATTATTTTATTAAAAAAAAACACATAAGAGTACCAGTAAAAAATGTAAATACTGTTACCATTTTGGGACGGGAAAGTTATTTTGAAGTATCAACCAAAGACAGAAACTATAAAGCATTGTTTAATAGACTATATACAAATGGGGAAAAAATTCAGAATAGAATAAACAAAGCAAAAACACAAATAAAAATTGGGGGAAAATAGCAATATACATGGCCATTATACCTTAATATATATGATGTATAGATCCACAGATGTTAGACAGATAGATGCCTTAATATAAAAGGAGAATCATTTGAACCTGGGAGGTGGAGGTTGCAATGAGCTGAGATCATGCCACTGCACTCCAGCCTGGGTGACAGACAGAGACTCCATCTCAAAAAAAAAATTATATATATATACACACACACACACACATATATATATATATATATATATATATATATATACATACACACACACATATATATATATACACACATATATATATATATACTTATATATATAAATATAAATAAAATTATGAGCTCTTATAAATTAAATAAAAAGTATGTTCCTTTCCCTCAAAAGAATTATGAACAAAAGACAATAGCAGTCACTCACAAAGCAATAATCACAAACAGCTAACAAATATTTACAAAGTCACTGAACATAAGTAATAACTCAAAAATTTCACAAAGATAATAATCTAAGTTGGTAGTATGCCTGGAAATCAACATTGTCATAAAGGCATATGACTGATGGTAGTATAAATTGTCACAAGTTTTTTGAGGGAGAGGTTAAGAAATTTGGCAGTATGAATCAAAAACCTGAAAAACGTACCTACCCTTTGATATAGCAATTCTACATCTAGAACTTTAAGGAAATAATTAGTTAAAATCCAAAAGATTTATATGTATAGATATGCATAGCAGTGTTGTTTATTATAAATAAATGTTAGAAGCAACCTAAATGTCCAGTCATGGGAGATTGGTTAAACAGATTACAATAAATCCCTATAAGTTAATGCCAGGCAATAATTAAAATGATTAAATAGAGCAACATCATGGACATGGAAAAATGTTGACAGTATATATGTTTAAGTAATAAAGTAACAGGACAATATAAGCAGTATAATGCCATTCCCATTTTTTAATACATACACACACACACACATGCGCGCATGCACACACACACACACATTGTTGATAACAACAGAAGGAATAAACTCTGGATATCAGGTAGAAAATAGCCTTATTAGAAGGTAGCTTATAGACTCAACAATAAGGCTGGTGAACTAGGGTCGGCAACAGGGCAGGAACAAAGGGTGGTGAGGCAACCAAGAACACAGCCAGCTCATATCATGGTCCAGCCTGGTAGTGTTATAAACAAAATCCCACCATCCCCGGACACAAACCTCTGCATTGAGGGACTCCTGATTCAGCTGTCCTCATGAGAAATCTCCAACAGCCACCTGTATAATTTCATTACTTCCTTGAAATTTGAGCCCAGCATGGGAGCACCTGATCGGTCAAGACTCAGTCATATAGTTATACCTCCCATGAAATAGAGAGAAGAAATATCTATCTGGTCCCTTTAGCTTGCTGGTAAAGACATATATTTTGAGATTCTCCTCCAATACTGATAATGTTTGAATGCTGGATAGTCAGAAAGCAAGAATGATAACTCCATAAATACACACACAAACACAAACACACACACAAACACACACACATGGAAAACTGGACATTCATAACATGTCATGATTAAGAATTCACATATTAATTAGGTCGGGTTTTTTGGTGATGGTTTGGGATTTTTTTTTTTTTTTACATAAACAATCCTATTGTCAGTGAGTAGGGACTATTTCATTTTTTTCATTTCCAATCTGTATGTTCTATATTTCTTTTTATTGCCTTATTGCACTGGCTAGGCCTTTCAGTAAAATGTTGAACAGGAGTGGTATGAGAGGATATTCTTATCTCCTAATATTAGGAGAAAACATTCAGTCTTTCAGCATTAGGTATAATATTAGCTGTAGGGTTGTTTTTTGTTTTCATTTTTTTAGATGCCCTTTATCAGCTTGAGGAAATTTCCAATTCCTATTTTGCTGAGAATAACTATCATGAATGAATGCTGACTTTTGTCAAATGCCTTTTCTGCATAAATTAATATAATCATGCAGCTTTTCTTCTTTACGCTGTTAATATAATGGAATAATTATTTTATTATTTAAAAATTAATTTAAAAAATCAAACTTGCTTTCCCAGCATAACCCATTTGTTCATGTTGTATTCTTCTTTTCATAATTTCTAATATTTTGTTGAGTATTTCTGCATCAATGCTCATGAGAGATACTGGTCTATAGGTTTCGAAACTGTCTTTATCTGCCTTGATATCAGGGTAATGCTGGCTTCATAAAATGAATTGAGATGTTACCCCCTCTTTTATTTTCTAGAATATATCGTATATAATTAGTGATAGTTCCTCTTTAAATGTCTGGTAGAATTTTCCATTGAAATATCTAGACCTATTCTTGTTTGTTAACTGTTGAATATTTCAGAGGCTTATAAGTACAATTCAATTTCTTTAATATATATCACTATTAAAATTGTATATTTCTTCTGGGGTGAGTTTTGATCATTTGTATCTTTTAAGAAATTAATTCATTCATCTGTGTTGTCCAATGTATGGTCATAGAGTTGTTTATAGCATTCCCTTATTATCTTGTTATTGTCTATGGGATCTGTAGTAGTTTCCCTCTTTCATTCCTGATATTGGTAATTTGTATCTCCTCTATTTTTTGTCAGTCTGGCTAAAGGCTTATCAATTTTATTGATATTTTATAAGAAATAGGTTTTGGTTTTATTGACTTTATTGTTTTTCTGTTTTTCAATTTCATTGACTTCTACTCTTATGAACACTTTTTTATGATTGCATTTTATCTCCATTATTTGATTTATAGTTGAGAAATTTTTTAGTTGTTGTCCTAGCATTTACACAATACATCTTTAATTGATCAGAGTTTACCTTCAAATAATATACTGCTTCATTCATAATGTAAGGATCTTAAAATAATTTCTCCTCAATTCCTCCCTCCCAACCTTTGTATCATTGTTACGATACATTTTACTTTTACCTATCCTATACACACATAATACATTGCTACTATGTTTACTCTTGACAGTCATTTATCTTTTAGGATCATTTAAACATTTTACATGTATCTTAGTTTACCTTCATTTAATCAATTTCCAGCGCTCTTCATATTTTTGTGTCTTTAGTTACGCATTTCTATCTTGTTTCACATTTCTCCTACCTGAAGAACTTCTTTAACATTTCTTCTCAAGTACATTTATTGGCAATACATTCTTAGTTCTTGTTTCTGTATTCCTGCCCCTTCCTTGGGACAGAGAGGTATTTTGTTCTGTTCTTCCCTAAGTTTTGCCAGTAGACTAAAGGAAACAGTATTTTTCCCTTTCTCCTGTAGATTAAGGCTTTTTTTCTAGAAAGGAGAAAGGGTGGGGTTCATGCCCCTTTGCAGTGGCTATTTTCCCTTTCCCCCATACCTGCACTGTGAGGGATTCTTTCTCAGGACTTTGGCCAGTCTTTTCTGGTGGGATACAGTGCCTGGTGGAGTCCATGGAGAAAAGTCTCCAAGAAGGTGCAAACTCCCTCTACATATGCATTCCCCAGGGTCTCCATACTCTCACCAGTCCTCACTCATTCGCCACCAATTCTTTACCTACTCCTGCTGAGTTCTTCTGTTGGCTACATCTGCTCCAGGTAAGCAAGGGCTTGTGTCCCATGCTTCTTCATAGGCCTCCTCCAGTCCTTAGATTTTTAGGCTAATTGGCTGCCCTGTGACCTCAGCTCTCCAAAAAAAGTAGTAAACTTGCAGTTTGTCTGGCTTTTTTTTAAAAGTTTAAGTGACACTCTTCCTAGACCTTCACATGCTGAGATTTTATTCTCTTTTCACCTGTCTAGCCCACAGGGCCATTTCATTCCTCAATAGCTTTTCACACCCACAAGAATGCCTTGTGGTGTAGAATTGGATAGAGATAGTAATAAGCTAACAAAAAAGTGTTCCTATTGCCCTGGAGGCATCATCCTCCCAGGGGAGAACTCTATTTTGTGAAAGGTCAGATGTCCAACTGAGGAATAAGCCTGGTCTCTTGGCCCACTCTGGGAAGGGCCAGTAGCGAGTCTAGCTTGCAGAGAGGGCAAAGACTCTAGCAGCATCCCCATGTTATGTCAGGATTTCCCTCTTTGGAGCTATGGGGACAGTGAAGATTGTGTTTTAGCTTGGGCAGGTGAAAATAACATGGTTGAGAAGCTTCATTTATTGGAAATAGGAATGAGGAGCCAGAAACAGAATCTCATCTTACTGCATACTGTGTACCTATTTAGGTGTCTGAGCTGCTCTGGCCTCCAGATTTGACTTCATTCCCAAACGAAAAGGAAGAAGGGAAAGAGATGCTCCATTCACCGGTTGTATGTATGGGGCCTCTACAGCAGGAGACTGTGAAGTAAAAGTTGAAATTGATTGACTGGTTGTTTATGAAGAGCTAATGAAAACCTGACTGAGAATAGGTTGGTACACGGGTCTCTGTCTCTGCTGCACTGTGGTTTTCAAGGTTTCCTGGACTTGGGAGGAGGGCATAGAAAGTTGCTGGGCAAATCGCACAGTCTCCCCTATGCTAGACTCAGAGCTGCCTTCCCTAGTAAACATCACCATTTTCTTGCCTTCAAAGATTTCAATGCTTTGTGCGTATGTATCAATGAAATTGTTTACAAATACTGCTATAGAAGAGCAACCTTGTTTCCTTACTGGGTTATCGCAGTCCATTCATATCTGCATCCAACATGTTGCCTCAAAATACCCCAAAAAGGCAGCTTTTGTTACCTATGCTTTACGAAGAGGAAAACTGAAGCTCACAGGGAATGATCAGTCCAAAGTCACTCACCTTCTAAGAAAAGGAAATACCCTGGAGTAGCACTAGGGTACCCAGGTGGGTTCACATGATAGGGAGGGACACCGGTAGCAGGGAGACACTTCCAGTGACAGATTTTCTTGCCTTTGTCACTAAAACCTCCTGTTGGCATCTAAGCCTGGATATCCATCAGGGTCCCAACAAGAAACAGATGACTTCCCAAAAGGAAAGCTTACCAGAAGGACTTACACACTGTAATAAGCAACATTTAGGGAAATCCCCATGGAATAGTAAGTACCACTGTATTAGTTTGCTAGAACTGCCACAACAAAATACCACAAACTGGGTGATTAAACAACATCATTTATTTGCTCACAGTTCTGGAGGTTGGGAAGTGCAAGATCAAGGTGTGGACACGTTTGGTTCTCCTGAGGCCTCTTCCCTTGGCTTGTAAACAGTTGCCTTCTTGCTGTGTCCTTGCGTGGCCTTTCCTCTGGGTGCACATCTCCATGGTATCTCTTCCTTTTCTTACAAGAACACCAGTCACATTGAATTAGGGCTTAATGGCCTCATTTTAATTTAATTACTTCTTTAAAGACCCTATCTCCAAATACAGTTGCATTCTGAGGTCCTGGGGATTGGGGCCTCAACCTACGAATTTGGGGTTGGAACACAATTGAGTGCATAACAGCTAATAGCAATGAAGGGGGCTACCACCCTATGACTGAAGGGGCAAGAGGAGGTGGAGGTTTCCAGAACCCAGAACCTGGCAAGCATGGCTACACATGGGGAGGGCCACCTGAGGTGTAGTCTACCCACAGTGGCCTGGCAGGCAGGGAGGAGGCAGCAGACACCTTGACCTCACTTTCCTCCCTCTGTAGGCTCCCACTGGTGCTGCTCTCTGGCTGAACCCAACAGGAAGCCAGGGGCAAGGGAATCCATTGCTACAGTCCACTAGGTGAACCTCTGGGCTCAGAGCAGGAGGAAATGGTAGAGGGCCAAGCTCAAACTATTTGGTGTGGCTTGCAAACCAAACTCTTAAGTTCTGCTCTGAAGTGATGGTGATTTATGAGAGGCACATTTGATTGCCTGGTTTTTTCAATTATTCCCGGATATGTTCAAAGGTGAGAGGACACTGAGAAAACACTGTGTCTATAGGGTCATTCTGAGGAAACACTGTAATAAAACAGCCTTTAGAGATGACTTCCCTAAGGCTAGGGTCAGGAGTCCCTTCCACAGGGCTCCAGTGGACAGCAGAGAAGGCCCCTGTCCTGGAGTGCAGGCAGAGGCAGCTGCATGGACAGAGGCCCAGAGGCATGATCCCTGCAGTCATGAGCAGGATGTGGCGTGGTGACTAGAAAGGGCCTTGAGGAGAGGGGTAGAAACCTAGGGCAGGCCTGACCCTTCTCTACTGTTCATCTGAGCAACGTGGAAGGCACCTACAGGCGTCTGCAGGTGAGTCTCTGCTTCAGTCAAGCAAACAGGAATTAAACTACAATGCTACTACGGGGTAATGAGTGCTGCAGAAGCACACTGAAGGGGCACCTAAGCTCGGCATGAGAGCCCAGCAAAGGGTTCTGGGAGTGAGTACTCCTCTTGGAGGAAAAGTAAGAGGTGGCCAATGAAAAGGAGTGTGCCCTTCACTTGACTAAAACAGAGACTCATGGAACAAGAAAGCCCATTTGCAGAGACCCATCATGGCAACAGGTCTTGGTACAAGTTAAAAAACAAAATCAAAGCAGTCAACAGGACTAAAGACATTCTCTGAATTTCCAGTGAGTAAGTAGGCTCACTGGAGCTGTGACAGGCAGACCAGTTTTACGATTTCAGCCGTATGACAGAAGACAACAGCAGGGGATGGGGTGGTTATCCAAAGATCTCAAACTTTTCAGTATGTTTTAGGTGAGGGTGGTGCGGGGGTGCTAATATTCATCCATCCATTGATGCACACTTTGGGGGACACTGTGTTAGGAAGTGTGGGGATGCAGAAAAGCAGAGGTGATGGTCACTGCCCTGCAGTTGTTTACAGCCAGGCACCTGGGACTACACATAAACACGAGGCACTACAGCACTGCTGTGCACTCCCATGTGGCATCTTCCTGAGGCACAGCCTGTCTCTCCCATGTTACCGATACCACGTTCCACAGAAAATGTAGTACTACACAGCCTACCCCAGTGGTTCAGAACCTAAGCTTGGAATCAGGATTCCATCCTGACTTTTAAAAGTTTGACACTGGATACATTATTTAACCTCTCTGAACCTGTCTTGTCATCTGTAAAAGAGAAATAATAAAGCCTTCCCTTTGGAATTGTGAGGGTAAAATGAGCTAGTCGCACAAATTAAGTACTCAGTAACAAAAGTACTTAGGGATTCAGGAGAGAAATTTTTTTTTGAGACAGAGTCTCGCTCTGTCGCCCAGGCTGGAGTGCAGTGGCGGGTATTGGCTTACTGCAACCTCTGCCTCCCGGGTTCAAGCGATTCTCCTGCCTCCACCTCCTGAGTAGCTGGGATTACAGGCACACACTACTACGCCTAGCTAATTTTTGTATTTTTATTAGAGATGGGGTTTCACCATGTTGGTCAGGCTGGTCTCGAACTTCTGACCTCTGGTGATCTAACCACCTCAGCCCCTGCTGTGGGATGGGTGGTCAGGAAAGGCTTCATGGAACATGAAAGACTTACGCTGGACCTGGGAAGATGGGTCTGGGATTTCTATGAGTGATGAGCAAAAGGACAGTTCAAGCAATGACCCAAAGCACTGGTCAAAGTAGAATAATTCCTGTGGTCTCTGGGCCCAGATCCTTGTCCAATTTACCTTGGTTTCCATTCTTCAATCAAACTTCCTGGCTCAGACAACACCCCATCTATGGCCCCTGCTTCCAGGTCTGGCTAATTCCTCTCCTGCTCAAAACGCCTATGATTTGCTACTTGCCATGTGGCCCTCTAATTCCATCCCAAGGCTCCAGAGGTGCAGATCTGCAAACCAGCATGATTAGCCACCATTGCTGGCTTCCCATTCAGCATATAAATCTAGTGCCTGGGATTACCTCATGCCAGAAAACCGAAATCCAAGTCAGATGGTTAAAGCATTAATAGCAGTGAGTGTTGTAAAGACTCAACAATGTGAACCTTCCCAAAATGAACCATCCTGACCTCCCTCGCGCTGACAATGCGTGTGTGACATCATGTGTAAATGAGCCTTAAATTTGAACCAGGTGCCGAGAGCTGTCTGGCGTCTCCTGGCTGCTGTATTAACCACTAACATGCACAGGGGGATTCTGAGGCAGTAAAATGGAGCGAAACCAACAGCAGTGACCAGGGCCCGGTGCAGCAGCTGTAGCAGAGAACATTCAAATCACACCCACCCGACTGGGCCTGGGCCCCCGGGTCCTGTAAAGCATATTTCCGGAGGGCTGGGGAGCCTAGGGAATTTGGCTGCCTTCATGCAGAGACAAAAGCTCCCCATGCAAATCAAACCACTTCGACTTGCTTCCCAGACTTGATTCTGAGCTGTTTTGATTTGCATCCATGAGGGTAGAACTCAAGTTCAGACTGAAGCTGCAGTTGGTAAGAACCAAAACCTATTGCATGCAGGTACAGGCAGTGTAAGATATATTTTTGGAAGGCACAATTTCCAAAGGAGAGAGTCAGCTCCAAATTCTCAGGTGCTATGACTTTCACCAGGCTGGGACCTGGAGAAAAAAGTGTGCCTTTGTCCATTTGGCATCACAGAGTCCCTCAGCTGAGCCTCTCCCCACAATAGGTCACATAACACGCCAGCTCTAGAGAACACGAAATCAAATTTGGAGGGATGGAATTAGGTGTGTATAGTGGGTGGGTGTCCTTATCATTGTCAGTCATAGGTATGAGAAAGTAGATGAAGAAGAGTAAAAGCAAGTTAGGAAGAAATAGTTCTTTAAAAAATTAAGCCTGCATAAAATTAACAGGTTATGTTGTTGTTGTTGTTATTGCCTTTTAATGCTTATTGTTCATGGTGCCCAATCTCAGGTTATTAACAGCTTGGCCATGTTAAAACCTGTATCCTGATCATCACTAGCAGGCCTACAGCAGAGACTGGAGACAGTGAGGATAAGAAAGAGGTGTACCAAGTGATCCTCTCTTGCTGGGGACTGTTCTAGAAGCTCTACACATGCTGGGGAAAGGAGCAGAAGCCAAAGACAGGTGAAACTCCCATTCCATGGATCCCACAGGATTTCAGCCTCAAAGAAATCCTTCGTTGTTCAGGGCACACTCTTAAACCATCAACACTCACCAAGTATACTGCACTGTACCATGAAGTCTCTGAGGTGGATGGGTAAAGTAGGGATGGGAGGCAGGTTCTGGATGGAGGATACAAAGGAGTTGGCAGATGTGGAACCTTTCCTAAAGGCTGTCGCAGGGTGGTTAGACATACAAATATACAAGAATTTGTATATTTTATCATTTAGAGAAATTAAATGTAGCATCAAGATGTTGAGCATAGGTTTCCTGAGTAATGGAGCAGTTACATTAAGTCATAGTCAGGTAAGTCCTTCTAGAGGAGGTTGAGTGTGGAAACAGGTTTTGAGGGAGAAGAAACGCTTTGGAGGGGAAAGAGAAAAACAACATGAATGGTTTGTGCAAAAGTTTGGAGGCAGGAGGCCGGGCACAGTGGCTCACACCTGTAATCCCAGCACTCTGGGAGGCTGAGGTGGGTAGATCACCAGAGGTCAGAAGTTCGAGACCAGCCTGACCAACATGGTGAAACCCCGCCTCTAATAAAAATAGAAAAATTAGCTAGGTGTAGTAGTGTGTGCCTGTAATCCCAGCTACTCAGGAGGTGGAGGCAGGAGAATCGCTTGAACCCGGGAGGCAGAGGTTGCAGTAAGCCAATACCCGCCACTGCACTCCAGCCTGGGCGACAGAGCGAGACTCTGTCTCAAAAAAAAAAAAAAAAAAAAAAGTTTGGAGGCAGGAACTCATAGGAAGTCTCTTAAGATGCCAGAGGTCTTGACCTGGCTCGGTGGCTCACGCCTGTAATCCCAGAATTTTGGGAGGCCAAAGTGGGCGGATTGCTTGAGCTCAGGAGTTCGAGACTAGCCTGGGCAACATGGTGAAACCCTGTCTCTACAAAAAGTACAAAAATTAGCTGGGCATGGTGGCGCATACCTGTAGTCTCAGCTACTCTGGAGGCTGAGGTGGGAGGATTGCTTGAGTCCGGGAGGCAGAGGTTGCAATGAGCTGAGATCACACCACTGCACGCCAACCTGTGCGACAGAATGAGACCCTGTCTCAAAATAAATAAATAAATAAATAAATAAAATAAAAAATAAAAATAAATAAATTAAATAATTAAAAAAAAAAAGATGCCAGAGGTCTTAATAGGATCTGAGGGCATGAGGAATTTTCCAAAACTCCAGAAAAAGTTCCTCATATGCCCAGGAGCTGAGACTTAAGAACAAATCAAGTGTGGTTTTTAGATAACTAGCCCTTGAAGGCCTAAAGTGCTTCTTTTTAGCTTTTGGAAGACGATGGCACTAGTCCAATGCAGAGAGGCAATTAATCTTTCTCTACCACTTCTACTTGATGTAAAGTCCAAGCTCAGCCTGGGTCCAGCATTCTCTACATCAGGATCCTACCCTTCAGCTTTACTTCTCAAATTGCTATTACATCTGTGCTCCTGGCAAAATTTTTACTTGTCATCTCCAAAGTATACCTTGTATTTTCCTGTACATATTGTTAGTATTTTCTTTCCAAACAGGAGTATCTTCCTTTCATTCTCATTTCTACTTTGGTTATCCTTCAATTTTACTTCAGTTGTTGCTTTCTTCACAAAGTCTTCCCCACTCACCCAGAAGGCAGTGAACCCCACCTCTATGAGCTTATCCAGCAGAGCTTTTAATGTTCATATTACTCACCAAGATATGTCATTCTTTCAACAAGCACGCACAGATGGCCTCATGTGCATGTGGCACATGCAATAGCCACACCCTGCGCTTCAGGGTATTACCGTCCCAGGTATTGTATAGAGGTCACCTCCATTGGATTGTAAGTTCCAGTAGTTTACCAACTAAAGAAAAATACTGTACCTACCTAACAATGCTTTGTGACAGGGAAAATCAGCTATTCACAAATGAGGCTGGAAATATAATTTGAGAATTTGCTCTCGCCAGAATAAAGTTCTAGATTGCTACAGTAGGGCTCTCTGATTTATTAAAAGCAAATTACTTTTTGTTTTACTATAGAAGTAACAACATTATGAAATGTTTAAGTAACTGAGTGTGGGAGTGATTAGACATCTTTTGGGAGAGTTGAGTAGAAAAAAAAATTGAGGAAAGCCATTTTACACTGAAATTAAAATGTATGAATACAAGTCTATTTATGTAGTCTCATGAGCTAATAAATTGAGAACCATTCTGGATGAATGAAAGCAAAGAATTTATTTGAATGCAAATGAATGACAAATCTTTAGACAAAGACAAGGAGAGGCTCCAAGTATTTTGCTTCCCTGTGAAATGTAAATATTATTATGGTATAATCCTTACTGACTTTTGATATATCATATAAACTTAGGAAGTTATATAGTAAAAATGTCCTGTGTTTTTTTCTGAATTCTGAAGTGTTGACAAAAATTTTGCAAATTTGTAAACCAGAACTTATTTAGATATTTTTCGCTCCCAAAGGTTAGGATTAGTAATGACTGGGGAAAGAGTCAACTAGGTCATCAACGAATTTTGTAATCAAGATCTGTTTTTGTATCTACTTCTTTCCACCTATAAGATAACTGAAGTCAATGAGCATTAGAAGTGAAGAAATCTTTACTGAATTTTTGAATATAGACTGGTTATTTAGACTGATAGTTTCCAAGTGTTGGTCTATGAGAAAGTTTTCACTGGTCTTTGATGAGATAAATAACTATGTAGCAAGTTTTTCACAAAGGTTATAACCTTCCTTAATTTTTTATATTGAAAGTGGCAAGTTTAATATCCTTAATCAATTTATAAAATAAAAAGTCTGCAATCTTATCAATGTCCCAAGATTCATTTTGACGTTCTAAAGTTCCAAAAGAAATCTCAAATCTGGGAAACACTGAATTAGACTACTGATGGTCTAAGCTATATTTGGATTTTTAAAAATTGTGTTTGTAGAAAGTCACAGAACACAGAAATGGATTTCTGACATTGTTTCGTAAGACATCCAAGTTTTCTCAGTCTAGTTGACAACTACTGGAACACATCCCTGCTCTACTTGAAGACCCATATACCTTTCCTTTGTCCAGAATTTCCTCTGAAATACTTAACAAAGGAGAAACAACAGTGCTGTGGCAATGAACCATGACTCAAGAGGACACAAGGCCGGCCAAAATACTGTCTGGCTGATGTAACAGAACAGATTTAGGTGCCACATTTTAAATGAATAAAGCAGCCTTCAACACAGTCAATATTGACTATGTATCTGCTATGAGCAGAACCTTTTTGTAGAAAAAAACTCCAACAGTTGGATACACTTTATTTACATGGTAATTAAGCACACAGCCTTTATAGTCAAACTTCAGTTTCTATTCTTAGGATGGCATCTTAAGGATGTATAACCTTGAACAAGTCATTTAACCTTACAGTCTCTCTAAACTTTAATTTCTAATCTATTAAATGGGGAATATAACTGTGCTTACCTCAGATTACATGAGAATGTGCTTGGCATAGAACCTGGTCTATACACCGAAGTGCCAGCTCAGTAGTGTCATATTATTTTATGAGACTAATGATCTTCCATTCATTTAAAGTATGAAACTTTTTCAGATTTTAGCAGGTTGGAGAACTGGGTAAGAAAACCAGGGAATTATAAAATTTGTTTCTACTCTTTTTCCATGGGAGTGCTCTTCCCTAGGGGCCCCACTCCCTCTGATTCCTACTGCCACCATCTAAGTAGAAGTTGAGTTGAAGGCCGGGTGTGGTGGCTCATGCCTGCAATCCCAGCACTTTGGGAGGCCAAGACGGGCAGATCACCTGAGGTCGGGAGTTCAAGACCAGCCTGATGAACATGGAGAAACCTCGTCTCTACTAAAAATACAAAATTAGCTGGGTGTGGTGGCTCATGCCTGTAATCCCAGCTACTTGGGAGGCTGAGGCAGGAGAATTGCTTGAACCTGGGAGGTGGAGGTTACAGTGAGCCGAGATCACAGCATTGCACTCCAGTCTGGGCAAAAAAAGTGAAACTCCGTTTCAAAAAAAAAGGAAGTTGAGTGGCTCTGATCCCAAATACATACACACACACACACACACACACACACACACACACACACACACACACACACACACAAACAGGTTGATCTATGGCACGTTCTTGGAGCCTGATTTCTGAACTACCAGGCTTTGTTACAGAGAACCTAGCAAGATGACCGTAAGGGGAAATGTTAGAAATTCTAGAACTGCTCCAATCTCCAAGATCTACCTCTGTGGAGGTCTGGTCTCTTGTCTCTAAAAAGAGGCATTCCCCTACAGGTACAATTGATGACTAGTAAATAATGAGCCCTTAAAGCAATGAAATGACAATATATTGCCAATGAGATGTCAAGGAAAGTTCAATACACTTTGAGAATTAGGAAAAGTTGGTTCAATCACATCCCTCATATGAGGATCGTCCCACAACCCTCCTGATGTGCCCACGGACTCTGGGAGGAAGCAAGTGGCTTACATTTTTTCTTGGCCATCTCTGCCTTTGAATTTCACTTTTTGAGGTTTCTGGATCACCTGGATAGCATAAGGCTGTATGTGTTCTGTCCCATGTGAGTCTAAAGAAGGGTTTACATGCACAATTCTGTTCACACAAGGTATTTTTGTGTCTACTGACTTTATTAGTTTCAGGAGACAGAGACAGGCAAATTAAAACTGAATATTAAACGCTTCTGTTCTTAAAATGCCCGTCAGCCACTTTTCCTCTAGACTCCCACCACTGGGTTAGCACTCTCTGCCTCTTTCCCTTTGCTTTTCTCCAGTTCCCAAATTCACATTTTCTCTTTTATGCAGAGTGGTTTAGCTATCTCTCTCACTTCCTCTCCTCTTGCCAACCATTTTCATAGGGTCACATTTTTTTTGATTGAGGTGAAATTCACATAACATAAAATGACCCTCTTTAAAGTATACAATTCACAGGCATTTAGTAAACTCACATTGCTGTGCCACTGTATAAGAATTCACCGTTCATACCTAAATGACTTATCAAGATATTCCCCACCACCACCAAAAAAAAAAAGACATTAAGGATATTTCCCTTACTAAGAGAAGTTCTGGTGACAGCTGCATCAAGCAGCTTCTTATCCTTTTGGAGAAAGGGACAACATTTGTGAAAGAAGAAAGAAAGAAAAGAAAGAGAAGGAAGGAAGGAAGGGAGGGAGGGAGGGAGGGAGGGAGGGAGGGAATAATAGGCTTGTTCACAGAAAGTTCTGTGGACAGAATTGTGTCTCCTCCAACCCCTCAATTCATATTGAGGCCCTAACCCACAAGTATTTCAAGATGGGGTCTTTGGGAGATAATCAGGGTTAGATTAAGTGATGAGGGTGAGACCCTCATAATGGGATTAGTGGCTTTATAGGAAGAGGAACAGAGATCACTCTTTCTCCACCATGTGAGGACACAAGAAGGCAGCCATTTGCAAGCCAGGAAGAGGCCCTCACCAGGACCAAAATAATTCTAGCCAGCACCATGTTCTTGGACTTCCCAGCTTCCAGAGCTATGAGAAATAAATTTCTGTTAAGCCATCCAATCTATGGTATTTTGTTATAGTAGCCTGAGCTAAGGTAGATGGTGACTTTTACAAAAAATAATTTTCAACTTTACTTACTGCTTCATGGAATGTCAGTAACTTACTTTGCAAATTATTCAGCAAATATAAATGTATTTACAGTTGACCTTTGAACAATGTGGGGGTCAGAGGTGCCCACCCACCACACAGTTGAAAATCTGTGTACAATTTTTGACTCTCCCACCAAAACTTAACTGCTAATAGCCTACTGTTGACTGTAAGCCCTACCAATAACAGTTGATTAACACACATTTTGTATGTTATTTGTATTATATACTATTTTCTTACAATAAAGTAAGCTAGAGAAACAAAAATGTCATTAAGAAAATCATAAGAAAGAGAAAACATATTTACTATTAAGTGAAACTGGATCATCATAAAGGTCTTCATTCTCATTGTCTTCATGTTGAGGAGGCTGAGAAGAAGGCAGGGGAGGGGTTGGTCTTGCCTTCTCGGGGTGGCAGAGGCAGAAAAAAATCCCCATATAAGTGGACCCACACAGTTAGAAAACCCATGTTGTTCTAAAGTTAACTGTATATTTACATATAAATATAATTTATATGTGAGTCACAAAATAAATACGACCAAATGCTAAGTTTCAGTGGTAGGTATATGGGCATATTATTTCAACTTGCATTCATGTTTAAAATTTTTCATCATAAAAAGATGGTAAAGAACTTACAGAGGAGAGCCTTTCCATTTAGCTAATTTATACTTAATTATTCAAACAAACCAAATTTGATAATAGATCCAAGGATTAGTTGGCCTTTCTGAGTTAATGATAATACAGGATCCTGGAAGAAAAATATAAATGAATGGTGTCTGCTATGGGTTAAATGTTTGTTCCCCCCAAAACTCACGTTGAAATTTAATTGCCAATGTAATGGTATTGGGAGATGGAGCCTTTAAGAGGTGATTAGGCCATGAGGGCTCCACCTTCCTCAGTAGGTTTAATATCATAATAAAAGTGCTTTCAGAAGAAAATATCTGCAAACTACCCATCTGAAGTGGGATTAAGAATCAGAATATATGAGGAACTCAAACAACTCCATTGGAAAAAATATAATAATCCAATCAAAAAATGGGCAAAATATTTGAATAGACATTTCTCAAAAGAGGACAAACAAATGGCTAACAGACATATGAAAAGGTGCTCAACATCACTGATCATCAGAGAAATGCAAATCAAAATTGCCATATCATCTCACCCCAATAAAAATGGCTTTTATAAAAAATACAGATAATAATAAATGCCGGAGAGGATGTGGAGAAAAGGGGAAAGGGGACCTTTATGCACTGTTGGGGGGGATGTAAATTAGTACAACCACTGTAGAGAACAGTTTGGAGGTTCCTCAAAAAACTAAAAATAGAGCTACCATATGGTCCAGCAATCCCACTGCTGAGTGTATACCCAAAAGAAAGAAAATAGGTATACTGAAGAGCTATCTGCACTCCCATGTTTGTTGCAGTACTGTTCATAATAGCCAAGATTTGGAAGTAACCTAAGTGTCCATCAACAGATGAATGAATAAAGAAAATGTGGAACATATACACAATGGAGTGCTATTCAGCCATAAAAACAATGAGATCTTTTCATTTGCAACAACATGGATGGAACTGGAGACCATTATGTTAAGTGAAATAAACCAGACACAGAAAGACAAACATCAAATGTTCTCACTTATCTGTGGGATCTAAAAATCAAAACAGTTGAATTCATGGACATACAGAGCAGAAGGATGGTTACCAGAGGCTGACAAGGGTTGTGGGGTAGTAGGGGCAGGGTGAAAATGGTAAATGAGCACAAAAAAATAGAAAATATGAGTAAGACCTACTATTTGATAGCATAACAGGATGACTATAGTCAATAATTACTTAATCGCACATTTAAAAATAACTAAGTATAATTGGATTGTTTGTAACACAAAGGATAAATGCTTGAGGGGATGGATACCCCATTCTCCATGGTGTGACTGTTTCACATTGCATGTCTGTATCGAAACATGTCATGTACTCCATAAATATATACACCTACTATGTACTCACAAAGATTAAAAATAAAAATAATAAAAATAAAATAAAATAAAAGTGCCTTTGGAAGCGGGCTTTCTCTTTTCACTTATGTGTCATTTGAGGAACAGTATTCCTCCCCTCCAGAGGGTGGAACATTCAAAGGCCATCTTGGGAGTGGAGACAAGGCCCTCACCAGACACCAAACGTGTTGGTACCTTGATATTGGATTTCCCAGGCTCCAGCAACACAAAATAGACTAAGCATCTCGCCTAAGAATATCACACACAATCACACCCTTTCCTGGAAACAGCAAACATGCAAAGGGGACAATTCTCACATGGGACTCATCAGAAACGCCACTCATGGGAAAACTCCCTAAATACACAAGATTTAACAAATATTTACTGAGCACCAACTACTGTGAGAGATGCTAATATGTAATGTCATAGTTCCTGTCTTTGGGTTAATTACAACGGAGTCAGAGAGGTAAAGTATTTAAATGTGAAAAGCTAAATAACAACACAAAATTGAAAGGGTAATTCCTACATAGTTGTTGTGAATATAAATCAGTATATCTTCTTTTTTCCTTTTTTTTTTTTTGAGACAGGATTTTACTCTGTCACCCAGGCTACAGTGCAGTAGAGCAATCACAACTCACTGCAGCCTCAACCTCCCTGGGATCATGTAATCCTCCCACCTCAGCCTCGCAAGTAGCTCGGACTATGGCCACACGCCACCACACCTGGCTAATTTTTGTATTTTTTGTAGAGAGAGGGATTTGCCATGTTGCCCAGGCTGGTCTTGAATTTCTGGGCTCGAGTGATCCACTCACCTCAGCCTCCCAAAGTACTGTGATTACAGGCATGAGCCACTGTGCCCAGCCAATAAAATCTTTAATGAAGGTCAATGTAGTAATACCTACCAAAATTAAAAATGCACATGCCCTTTGACCCAGAATTCCAGTTAAATGGATAGAAATATATACTACAGATATATTAATATATGTGCTAAATGACATATGTATACAAAGATAACATTTGAAGCATTATATAAAATTGCAACATTTGAAAATAAAAAATCCCTCAATATGCATTGATAGGAAACTAGCTAATTAAATTATGGTCTATGCATTAACAGAATACTATGCAGCTGTTAAAATATTTAGGGAGTTTTGTGTATACTGATACAAAATAATCTCCAAAACATAATGCTAAATCAAAAATAGACAAGTGGGACAACATCCAACAGAAGAGATTCTGCACAGCAAAAGAAATAATCAACAGAATAAAAATCTTAAGGAGAGAGAAAATATTTGCAAACCGCATATCTGATAAGGGGTTAATATACAAAATATAGAAGGAACTACAACAACTCAGTAACAAAAAAATTAAATTTTAAAATGGGCAAAGGACATGAAAGAAATTTCCCCAAAGACATACAAACGACCAGACATTATATGAAGATGCTCAACATCACTACTTATCAGGGAAATGCAAAACAAAACCACAATGAGATATTGCCTCACACCTGTTAGGATGATCATTATCAAAATAACAAAAAACAAATGCTGGCAAGGATATGGAGAAATTGGAACCCTCGTGCACTGCTGATAGAAACATAAAATAGTGCAACCATTAAGGAAACCAGTATAGAGATTCTTCAAAAAATTTAAAATAGAACTACCATATGATACAGCAATCTCACTTCTGGATATTTAAACAAAATGATTGAAAACAGAATCTTGGAAGAGATATTTGCACTCCCATGTTTGTTGCTGCATTATCCACAATAGCCAAGAGGTGAAAACAACCTAAATGTCTATTGGCAGATTCATGGATAAAGAAATTGTGGTATACACATACAATGGAATATTATTCAGCCTTAAAGAATGAAGAAAATTCTTCCATGTGCTGCAATATGCATAATACTTGAGGACAATATGCTAAGTGAAACAAGCCAGTCACAAAAGGACAAAATACTACATGATTCCTTGGTACAAGATGGCGAGAGCAGTCAAACTCATAGAAGCAAAAAGTAAAATGGCAGTTGCCAGGGACTGCAGGAACAGGGAAATAGGGAGTTGCTGTTCAATTAGGCACAGAGTTTTAGTCATGCCGGATGAAAAAGTTTTAGGTATCTACTATACAATGTGCATATAATTAACAACACTATATCGTACACTTACAAGTTTGTTAAGAGGGCAGATTTCATGTTAGGTGTTGTTTATTTTTTGTTTTAGCACAACTAAAAAAAGTCATAATGTTAAGTAAAGAGAAGTCAAAGGGGCAAAGGATTTCATGTTGTATGCCAACATTTGCGGGTGTATATCCGTGTATTCTCCTTGTGTTTGTGTATTCTCTCTCTCTCTCTCTAAGAGAGGCATAGAATATACTGGGAAGAACACAGAAAGTTGTAAAAGTGGTTGCTTCCAAGGAGGAAAACTGGATGCTGGGGATAGAATTGGATGGGAGGGTATTTTTGTAAATTTAAAATCTGTACCATGTGCACATTACCCACTCAAAAACTGAATACAAAATTACAAAAGTAGTTTATGAAAAAAATACGAAAAATCTTACAAGGTACTAATGGTATACCAAAATAATCATACAGATAATAAGGGGTAGACTAGAGTGGAGAATAAAGTGTTTACAGAAGTGGGATTTGAGCTGGGTGTTGAAGAATGAGAAGCATTTGGATAGGTGGAAAATAAGTCACATTCTGGGTATGTACCTGGAAGTGGGAGTAGGGAGAGGAGTAACAATATAGAAGAGGGTAATAAAAGGCAAATCAAGTGCTAGACAGAAAAAACAGTTTAAGGGTATTGTAGAACATACGTAAGAAAGGGCTCAAATATAGCTTAGTGGATGAGGCAAGGGAATCTGGGATTAATGGGGGTAGTAGCGAGCCATTATCTGGGATTAATGGGGGTAGCAGTGAGCCATTATCTGGGATTAATGGGGGTAGTAGTGAGCCATTATAGGTTCTTGAGCAAGAGAGTAATACTATGAAAGCAGGATTCCAAGGAGACCAGAGAACAGTAACAGGCAAAATGGGCTGGAAGACATACATCTGCTAGCAGGTAGATATGGCAATCCAGTAGTTGTGCATTGGAGTCATCTGGGAAGCTCTAAGAAGTTTATCGATGCCTGGGTCGTAACCCTCAGAGATTTGGATTTAATTGGTTGGGGTGGAACCTGCATGTGGTAATTTTTGCAAAGTTGCCCAAGTGATGCCAAAGAACAGCCTGAAGTGATAATCACTGCAATACTTCAGGCACAAAGAGATGAAGGCTGAGATTTAGATAGGAGTCTGGCAGGAGGCTGGGTCAGCATAAAAGCAAATCTAGGAGGCATTTCAAAGAAGAACTGACATTGTGACAGATTAGAGGTAAAGAGTAGAAGGACACAGTCTGTTAGATTCCTTTATGCATTCATTCAACAAATATTAAGCCACTCCAAAGTACCAGGCACTGTCCTAAGCTCTGAGGATTTGGTTATAAATAAGACAGTTATGTCCCAGTTCTTATGAAACTTTCAGTCTAGTGGACACAGACAACACATAAACAAGATTTCCAGCAGTGACCTGTATAACAGGGTAAAGTTAAAAGCACTACCATGTGTTGGGGGCCATAAGACGGTCATGACCATAAGACAGGCAGGGCAGACCTCTCTGAGGGGGTGACAGTTGACCCGAGGCTTAAATAAGAAGCCCGGCTTGCAAAGGTCTTTGAAAATTATGCTCTAAGTAGGGAAAACAGTAAGTGTGAGGGAACAAGCTTGGTGTGTTCCAGGGGCAGAAAGGCCAGTGTGGCTGGAGAATGAAAGATACATTGACATCAGAGAAATAAGTAGGTACAGACAAAATTGAGCCTTGTAGGCCATGGCATGGATTTCATTCTAAGTGAGATGGAAAGCCCTTGGAGGAAATTAATCAGGGTAGCAATATAATCTGATTTGAATTTTTAAACAACTACTTTGCAGTATGAAAGTGGACTGTAGGTAGCAGGAATGGAAGCAAGAAAGCCAGTTGGGATGTTGGATGAAAACAGGGGCTGCTGACAGATATGAGAAAACTGTAGTGAGGAATGGATTTGGACATGTTAAGTTTGAAGTGATTGTGGAGCCCCCAAGCAGAAATGTTCTGAAGCAACTAGAAATACAGAAAACAGATAGGAGTTTAGGCTGTACCCACTGATTTGGGGGTCACTTCCAAGGGAAGTGAGGAAATGCAGGTTAGATGACACTACAGGAATATTAACAACTTCATCCAAAGTATAGATTAATAACAACTCAAGAGAAATACTGATAGCGGTGGGCTGCAGGGCCCTCTGGTTAGTCTTGTCTCATTTAACATTTTTATCTGTGAATGGGATGAAAAAATGTAAGTATGATGAAGAATGTCACAAAAGCGGGAATGGTGACTGATGCACTAGAATCAAGATTCAAAAAAAAGATCTCAACTGCTTAAGTGGTGCACTGAAGCTAACAGGATGAAATTTAACACATAGATAACAGATACATATGTATGTATGTATATGTGTACCTATACATATGTGTATATATATATATGTGTGTGTGTGTGCATGTATATTCCCTCATATTTAAAAAATGTAAATCAACAGCACAAGTACAGGGTTCTAGAAACCAGGGTAATTTACCTAAAAAAGGCCTGCAGCTTTTCTGACCACATACTTTATAAGCCAAAAGTGTAATGTCATTGCTAAAAATGCTGATGTAAAGTCAAAATATGTGGATAATATTTACTATGAAACTACAAGAATTACTTTTTCCGGGGAAAAATACATCAGTAGTGAAAATAAATGCATTGGTCAGGATATTTCTAGAATACCGTTTTCTAGTCAGGCTGCTGACTAAATGTCTGAAGCAGAGACGGCAGAAGAGACAACATGGTTGGAAGTTATGTGATTTGAGGGACAGTAAAGTAATAAAAGTGTACGTATATTCAATGCTTAACGGCTTACTCGAGTTTTTCCCAAATATGTAATCTCACTTGAAGGAGAGTTTCCTCTGGTTGAGAGAAAACCCAGTCAAATATTGAGTCTTCAGCAAGTTCAGAGAATAGTAACTTGTCCAAAATTAGAAAGATATAGAAAGAGACAGAAGCTGGGATTCGAACACAGGTAATTTTGACTCCAAAATCTTTTTTTAAAAACATATGTATATATTAAAAATACATGTATAATTTTTCATTTAAGCAATTTCACTTATCAAGTTGGTCTGAAAATGTTCAGTCAGAAAAATAAAAGTTGTATCTGAACTTTTTTCAAGCAAGATGTATGTATGTCTTACATAGTTTCATGACCTTGGGACTAGCTCAACTTCTAGGACATAATATGTGCTAAGAATTTGCTGAATGAATTAGCCAGCCCTTTTGCTTGTGTTGTGTATCTGTCCACTGATGAACACTAGATAAAATATATACACAGTTGACTCTTGAACAACATGGGTTTCAACTGCACGGGTTCACTAACAGTTGACTTTTTTCAATCAAATACGGATAAAAAATATAGTATTTTCAGGATGCAAAATCTGCGCATGTTTACACAGGGTTGATATTTTGTATATGTGGTTCTGCAGCAGGACTTGAATGTGCATGGATTTTGATATATGAGGGAGATCCTGGAACCAATCCCCCAAGGGATGACTGTACACTCAAACAAGTGAGAAACATTTCTCTGCAAGTCTTTTTCTTTATAGCATCCCATATTACAATGTCTTTTCATCCATCTGTTTTTGTGTTTTTTTTTTCTCCCTGGCAACTCAATTTTCCTTTCTACCCATTTACTTTGTACCACAGGTGAATAAACCTCTTATTCCCACCTGCCCACCTGGCCATCAGCCAAGATGAGTCTTCCTGTTCCTTATAATTGCTTGTCCTGACTGACAGCTTGGCAAAGCAGGACAACAGATTACTGTGATAATAAACACATTTATCAGATTGTTTAGGAAGGGTGACAAACAGAAAGGATTCTGATTGCAATAAAGAAACCATGTCCACAATATCTTTATTCATCCTCCATCAAAATTTTGTTTCCTACTTTTCCTACCTCCTTATGGAAAAAATACAGGAAGATTATCAGAAGAATAAATTGTGTATTTGAGTTTTTTAAAAAACAAATTTCTCAGTACAATAAAAAGATTCTGAAATGTTCTAAGGTCAAAAATTATGACACCTAAAATCTAGGCAGAAAAATTTGCAGGAAGTAAAGTATGTTTAACATAGGGCTAATTCTAACACAGCCACAGAGAGCTGTTAACATGCCAAAAAGAAAAACAGGTTAAAATTAATTCAGTTTGAGTCCCTCTGTTTCTAGCATCTATTTTCTCTCTGTATATACTGTATTGGCAGTGTCAGCACTACAGCCAGCCAGAGTGGAAGTACTCTCCACACCTAGCTACCCACAGATTACCCAGTAACCTGAGCCTGCAAACATGCAGGACAGAGAAGAGAGAAGAGAAAAATCTGTTTACCTTAAAGATAGATCTTCCAAACTCATTAACATCTTATACAGTGTTTGCCATTTCATTTGTGTTAAGATAACCTTATTCCCAGGCCCTAAAATGAATCATTTCAGGGTCAAATGGCTGTAGCACTTCCACCAATGGGTGGAATACACATTTCAAATACAATATAGAACTGGTTTAAAGGACACATTGAGAAAGAAATGTCTCTTTTTCAACTGATCTCTGCTTACTTCACTACCCCAGGGATATGAGAAAAAATTGTAAAGTTCTTAAAGGTAGATGCTTTATATGTAGGTAAATATAGAACAGGAGATTTTGCAAAGATGAAAATGTTTTAAAAAGGAGCACATGAAGACCAATGCTTAGCTCATAACCCATCTGAAGGCACATACAAAGTTCACCGGAAAATGGATAATTCGTTTCTGCTTTTCCACTGATGGATTTACCAGTATACTAAGCTGAAGTTTAAAAAATGCTGTGGTAGGAAGAAACACTACAGTACAGTAGCAAACAAAGCCAGAGAGGTTGGGTTGATCCAGTAACGTGCTACCCGTCAAATGCCAGATATGGAATTGCTGGATAGCAGAGAATCTTTAGTATTTTCAAGACCTCGATTCTATACCTAGATTGTATTGAATTTCAGATCCTGCTTCTAGATGGAAAAGCATACACACACACACACACACCCCAAAGATTTCCAGACCTTGGGTGTTTAAAGGGCCTTCACACAGTAAATCAACCTACTGCTGTCTTGTTTTCTCTGCAACCAGACTGAAATAATATAGCACAAGCAGAGGTGTGAATTACCCCCATTCATCTTAATGGAGTGTTAACTTCAAAGCCTTGTTTTAACCATTTAAATGCTAAGCTCATGAGTAAACATTCTGTTAAAAATAAAAAAGTACAATTTAAACATTCACCCTCAACATACGAAAGTAATTTATAGTCTTGGCACTTCGTCTTTTAATTTAGCAAACAAGTCTCCAAATGTTAGAAAAGTATATATTTTCTGCTTTACTTAGTTTTATTTTAAATAGTTATTACCTAATAAATTATGAACATTAAGCCCATAATGAGAAGGCCCATATTTCCCAGGAAAAATTCTGAGGGGCATTTGAACAAGGTTTTTTTTGGTAATCTTGGCTGAAGGGGGCACTGCTCTCACCAGCCATCTTATTAACCTCATCTAAATGCACAGAGAAAGTTGTGACTCAAAACAGGCAACTAGATAAGGCAGAACATTAAAGTAAAATAAAAATGAATACCTGCACAAATAATTTTTCTTGCTACTAAGTTTTGTGCAGTGTTCAACAGACTGTCCCTTTGCCAAACCTCCCATGATCCTATCTCATGAGCAGGTGACAAATGTATTAATTGATGCCCAGCTGTCATCACACTTAACAATTGCCCCCAGGGGGCATCCTTGCATCTGTTGCAGATTTAGGGTTATTTTGGTATTACTGGAGTTAGACTTATTTAAGTAGCTGCACACCTATCTGTATTTGGATCCATAATGTCATAAACAGAAGAAGAGGGTACGAGTAGTAGGATATCGGATTGACTGGCTCTGGCTGACCTGAAGCCACATGGGAGGCCATGTCTGGCTGTGGCCTGGGACCATTCTAAGTGCCTAGTTTCAGGAAGGCATTATTAGTAGGAGAGTACAGCTGAGGTAAACTGTGGGAAAGCACTCAAAACGTGCACCTGGGGCCAGTTCCCCTGTGAGTGAAGGCTAGAGAAAGATTCTGAAAATAATTCTCATGCAAGATGAAGAAATTCAAGGTATGTTTCCATGTCCTTAGTGGAAAGCAAACTCATTTCATTGGTCCAGATAAGGGAATGGACAAAGGGGATAAACATTTAATCTATCAAAAGAGTCTGTTTTGGTCTGCACCTAATTTATACAGAGCATTTAATTCTATCAATATGACCCTGTATAATAGGCATTAACTCCATTTTACAGATGTGAACATGGAGGCTTATAGAGGTTACGTAGTGTGCCTTACACTGAGACTTGAATCCAAGTCTTTCTAACCCAAGAGCTTGGTCTTTTACCATTACACTACACTGTTCTCCAGTTGCTAAATATCTTGATCTTCTCAAAAGAGAAGCTCAGTTGTCAATTTTTCGGCTTATTTCCTAAGTGAGAAGCAAAGGTGCACCTGCAAAAGAGTGTATTTCCATATATGAAAACCGGCACTTTGCATGCAATTCTCTACTTTACATGTGTACTGGGGTAGGATTACATTTTTACTGATACACCCTGGCTTTAGTAGAATTTCATGGGAGGAGAGCCCTAGGTTCTGGTTCCTAACCTGAAATAAGCCATGTCAATGAGAAGCTGCAATGATTTATAACCTCCAAACAAAATATTATAGAAATGATCAACATTTTGTCTCTGCCAAGTAGAATGTTGCCTGTTTTAGTGACCAACTAAGAAAACTCAGAGAAAGGACTTTGAAGTACACAGGCAGTCATCACAGGTCTATCTCATAATGAACAGAAGAGGAAAGTTATAAAAGTTTTTAGATAGGATTTAGAGGGAGGGCAAAATCCCTCTAAATTCTACCAAGTAGAACAATCTCAGTTTTGTTATTAGTGACTGATGCTAACAAAATTAAAACATAGCTAAGAATCAATTTTGTATATAAATTTAATACACTGATTTCTTAAAACAAACAAACAAAAGATTGACCCAATATATTTAAGAACATTTAAACACTTCTGCTCTTTGAAAGACACTGTTAAGAGAATAAAACAGCAAGCCACAAAATGGGGAAAAAAAAATCTTTGCAAAACACATATAAAGAACAGAAATTGGCTGGGCATGGTAGCTCATGCCTGTAATCTCAGCACTTTGGGAGGCTGAGGCGGGCAGATCACTTGAGGTCAGGAGTTTGCGACCAGCCTGGCCAACATGGCGAAACCCTATCTACTAAAAATACAAAAATTAGCTGGGTGTGGTGGCGTGCGCCTGTAATTCCAGCTATGCAGGAGGCTGAGGCACTAGAATTGCTTGAACCCAGGAGGTAGAGGTTGCAGTGAGCCGAGATTATACCACTGCACTCCAGCCTGGGTGACGGAAGTGAGACTCTGTCTCAAAAAAACAAAACAAAACCCCAGAAATATAAAATCTAAAAAGAATGCTTAAAAGTCAACAATGAGAAAACAATTAACAAATGGTGGTATGTGCCTGCAGTCCCAGCTACTCAGTATGCTGAGGCACTGGGATCACTTGAGCCCAGGAATTTAAATCCAGTCGGGGCAACATAGCAAGACCCAGTATTTAAAAAAAAAAAAGGCAAAAGAGAGTTGAGCTAAACAGATACTTTACCAAAGAAAATAAACAGATGGCAAATATGCATATGAAAAGATGCTCAATATCATATTAGGGAACTGCAAACTAAAACAACGAGATACCACTACATGCCAATTAGAATGGTGAAAATCTAAAACACTGACACCACCAAATGCTGGTGAGGATGTAAGACAACAGAAACTCTAATTTACTGCTCTCTGGAATATAAAATGTTACAGCCATTTTGGAAGGTAGTTTGGCAATTTCTCATAAAACTAAATACATTCTTACCATACAGTGTAGGAACTGTGCTCCATGGTATTTACTCAAATAAGCTGCAAATTATGTCTACATAAAAACCTACACAGGGGCTGGGCATCGTGGCTCATGCCCAGCACTTTGGGAGGTCGAGGCGGATGGATCACCTGAGGTCAGGAGTACAAGACCAGCCTGGCCAACATGGTAAAACCCCATCTCTACTAAAAATAGAAAAAATTAGCCAGGCGTAGTGGTGGGTGCCTGTAATCCCAGCTACTGGGGAGGCTGAGGCATGAGAATTGCTAGAACCTGGGAGATGGAGGCTACAGTGAGCCGAGATCACACCATTGCACTCCAGCCTAGGTGACAGAGTAAGACTCTGTCTCAAAACAAAACAAAACAAAACAAAACAAAAAAACCTGCACACGAATGCTTAGAGCAGCTTTATTTGTAATTGCAAAGACTTGGAAGCAACCAAGAGATCTTTCAACAGGTGAATGGATAAACAAACTGTGGTACATCCATACAATGGAATACTATTCAGTGCTACAAAGAAAGGAGCTATTAAGCCACAAAAAGACATAGAAGAAACTTAATTGCATATTTCTAAACGAAATAAGGCAGTCTGAAAAGGCTACATACTATAGGATTGCAACTATATGACATTTTGGAAAAGACAAAACTATGGAGACAGTAAAATGATCAGTGGAAATGTACAAAGACGAGCAGGTACTATTCCTACAGAAACTACTCCAAAAAAATTGAGGAGGAGGGACTCCTCTTAACTCATTCTATGAGGCCAGCATCACCTTGATACTAAAACATGACAGAGACACAATAAAAAAAGAAAACTTCAGGTCAATATCTTTGATGAACATTGATGCAAAAATCCTCAACAAAATACTTGCAAACTGAATCCAGCAACACATTAAAAGTTAATCCACCATGATCAAGTACACTTATACGGGATGCAAGGTTGGTTCAACATATGCAAATCAATAAATGTGATTCATCACATAAACAGAACTAAAGACAAAAACCACATGATCATCTCAATAGGTGCAGAAAAGGCTTCTGATAAAATTCAACACTTGGGGGAGGAGCCAAGATGGCCGAATAGGAACAGCTCCGGTCTACAGCTCCCAGCGTGAGCGACGCAGAAGACGGGTGATTTCTGCATTTCCATCTGAGGTACCGGGTTCTTCTCACTAGGGAGTGCCAGACAGTGGGCGCAGGCCAGTGTGTGCGCGCACCGTGCGCGAGCCGAAGCAGGTCGAGGCATTGCCTCACCTGGGAAGCGCAAGGGGTCAGGGAGTTCCCTTTCCGAGTCAAAGAAAGGGGTGACGGACGCACCTGGAAAATCGGGTCACTCCCACCCGAATATTGCGCTTTTCAGACCGGCTTAAGAAACGGCGCACCACGAGACTATATCCCACACCTGGCTCAGAGGGTCCTACGCCCACGGAATCTCGCTGATTGCTAGCACAGCAGTCTGAGATCAAACTGCAAGGCGGCAACGAGGCTGGGGGAGGGGCGCCCGCCATTGCCCAGGCTTGCTTAGGTAAACAAAGCAGCCGGGAAGCTCGAACTGGGTGGAGCCCACCACAGCTCAAGGAGGCCTGCCTGCCTCTGTAGGCTCCACCTCTGGGGGCAGGGCACAGACAAACAAAAAGACAGCAGTAACCTCTGCAGACTTAAGTGTCCCTGTCTGACAGCTTTGAAGAGAGCAGTGGTTCTCCCAGCACGCAGCTGGAGATCTGAGAACGGGCAGACTGCCTCCTCAAGTGGGTCCCTGACCCCTGACCCCCGAGCAGCCTAACTGGGAGGCACCCCCCAGCAGGGGCACACTGACACCTCACACGGCAGGGTATTCCAACAGACCTGCAGCTGAGGGTCCTGTCTGTTAGAAGGAAAACTAACAAACAGAAAGGACATCTACACCGAAAACCCATCTGTACATCACCATCATCAAAGACCAAAAGTAGATAAAACCACAAAGATGGGGAAAAAACAGAACAGAAAAACTGGAAACTCTAAAACGCAGAGCGCCTCTCCTCCTCCAAAGGAACGCAGTTCCTCACCAGCAACGGAACAAAGCTGGATGGAGAATGATTTTGACGAGCTGAGAGAAGAAGGCTTCAGACGATCAAATTACTCTGAGCTACGGGAGGACATTCAAACCAAAGGCAAAGAAGTTGAAAACTTTGAAAAAAATTTAGAAGAATGTATAACTAGAATAACCAATACAGAGAAGTGCTTAAAGGAGCTGATGGAGCTGAAAACCAAGGCTCGAGAACTACGTGAAGAATGCAGAAGCCTCAGGAGCTGATGCGATCAACTGGAAGAAAGGGTATCAGCAATGGAAGATGAAATGAATGAAATGAAGCGAGAAGGGAAGTTTAGAGAAAAAAGAATAAAAAGAAATGAGCAAAGCCTCCAAGAAATATGGGACTATGTGAAAAGACCAAATCTACGTCTGATTGGTGTACCTGAAAGTGATGTGGAGAATGGAACCAAGTTGGAAAACACTCTGCAGGATATTATCCAGGAGAACTTCCCCAATCTAGCAAGGCAGGCCAACGTTCAGATTCAGGAAATACAGAGAACGCCACAAAGATACTCCTCGAGAAGAGCAACTCCAAGACACATAATTGTCAGATTCACCAAAGTTGAAATGAAGGAAAAAATGTTAAGGGCAGCCAGAGAGAAAGGTCGGGTTACCCTCAAAGGAAAGCCCATCAGACTAACAGCGGATCTCTCGGCAGAAACCCAACAAGCCAGAAGAGAGTGGGGGCCAATATTCAACATTCTTAAAGAAAAGAATTTTCAACCCAGAATTTCATATCCAGCCAAACTAAGCTTCATAAGTGAAGGAGAAATAAAATACTTTATAGACAAGCAAATGCTGAGAGATTTTGTCACCACCAGGCCTGCCCTAAAAGAGCTCCTGAAGGAAGTGCTAAACATGGAAAGGAACAACCGGTACCAGCCGCTGCAAAATCATGCCAAAATGTAAAGACCATCGAGACTAGGAAGAAACTGCATCAACTAATGAGCAAAATCACCAGCTAACATCATAATGACAGGATCAAATTCACACATAACAATATTAACTTTAAATATAAATGGACTAAATTCTGCAATTAAAAGACACAGACTGGCAAGTTGGATAAAGAGTCAAGACCCATCAGTGTGCTGTATTCAGGAAACCCATCTCACGTGCAGAGACACACATAGGCTCAAAATAAAAGGATGGAGGAAGATCTACCAAGCCAATGGAAAACAAAAAAAGGCAGGGGTTGCAATCCTAGTCTCTGATAAAACAGACTTTAAACCAACAAAGATCAAAAGAGACAAAGAAGGCCATTACATAATGGTAAAGGGATCAATTCAACAAGAGGAGCTAACTATCCTAAATATTTATGCACCCAATACAGGAGCACCCAGATTCATAAAGCAAGTCCTGAGTGACCTACAAAGAGACTTAGACTCCCACACATTAATAATGGGAGACTTTAACACCCCACTGTCAACATTAGACAGATCAACGAGACAGAAAGTCAACAAGGATACCCAGGAATTGAACTCAGCTCTGCACCAAGCAGACCTAATAGACATCTACAGAACTCTCCACCCCAAATCAACAGAATATACATTTTTTTCAGCACCACACCACACCTATTCCAAAATTGACCACATAGTTGGAAGTAAAGCTCTCCTCAGCAAATGTAAAAGAACAGAAATTATAACAAACTATCTCTCAGACCACAGTGCAATCAAACTAGAACTCAGGATTAAGAATCTCACTCAAAGCCGCTCAACTACATGGAAACTGAACAACCTGCTCCTGAATGACTACTGGGTACATAACGAAATGAAGGCAGAAATAAAGATGTTCTTTGAAACCAACGAGAACAAAGACACCACATACCAGAATCTCTGGGACGCATTCAAAGCAGTGTGTAGAGGGAAATTTATAGCACTAAACGCCTACAAGAGAAAGCAGGAAAGATCCAAAATTGACACCCTAACATCACAATTAAAAGAACTAGAAAAGCAAGAGCAAACACATTCAAAAGCTAGCAGAAGGCAAGAAATAACTAAAATCAGAGCAGAACTGAAGGAAATAGAGACACAAAAAACCCTTCAAAAAATCAATGAATCCAGGAGCTGGTTTTTTGAAAGTATCAACAAAATTGATAGACCGCTAGCAAGACTAATAAAGAAAAAAAGAGAGAAGAATCAAATAGACACAATAAAAAATGATAAAGGGGATATCACCACCGATCCCACAGAAATACAAACTACCATGAGAGAATACTACAAACACCTCTACGCAAATAAACTAGAAAATCTAGAAGAAATGGATACATTCCTCGACACATACACTCTCCCAAGACTAAACCAGGAAGAAGTTGAATCTCTGAATAGACCAATAACAAGCTCTGAAATTGTGGCAATAATCAATAGTTTACCAACCAAAAAGAGTCCAGGACCAGATGGATTCACAGCTGAATCCTACCAGAGGTACAAGGAGGAACTGGTACCATTCCTTCTGAAACTATTCCAATCAATAGAAAAAGAGGGAATCCTCCCTAACTCATTTTATGAGGCCAGCATCATTCTGATACCAAAGCCGGGCAGAGACACAACCAAAAAAGAGAATTTTAGACCAATATCCTTGATGAACATTGATGCAAAAATCCTCAATAAAATACTGGCAAACCGAATCCAGCAGCACATCAAAAAGCTTATCCACCATGATCAAGTGGGCTTCATCCCTGGGATGCAAGGCTGGTTCAATATACGCAAATAAATAAATGTAATCCAGCATATAAACAGAGCCAAAGACAAAAACCACATGATTATCTCAATAGATGCAGAAAAAGCCTTTGACAAAATTCAACAACCCTTCATGCTAAAAACTCTCAATAAATTAGGTATTGATGGGACGTATTTCAGAATAATAAGAGCTATCTATGACAAACCCACAGCCAATATCATACTGAATGGGCAAAAACTGGAAGCATTCCCTTTGAAAACTGGCACAAGACAGGGATGCCCTCTCTCACCGCTCCTATTCAACATAGTGTTGGAAGTTCTGGCCAGGGCAGTCAGGCAGGAGAAGGAAATAAAGGGTATTCAATTAGGAAAAGAGGAAGTCAAATTGTCCCTGTTTGCAGACGACATGATTGTTTATCTAGAAAACCCCATCGTCTCAGCCCAAAACCTCCTTAAGCTGATAAGCAACTTCAGCAAAGTCTCAGGATACAAAATCAATGTACAAAAATCACAAGCATTCTTATACACCAACAACAGACAAACAGAGAGCCAAATCATGAGTGAACTCCCATTCACAATTGCTTCAAAGAGAATAAAATACCTAGGAATCCAACTTACAAGGGATGTGAAGGACCTCTTCAAGGAGAACTACAAACCACTGCTCAAGGAAATAAAAGAGGACACAAACAAATGGAAGAACATTCCATGCTCTTGGGTAGGAAGAATCAATATCGTGAAAATGGCCATACTGCCCAAGGTAATTTACAGATTCAATGCCATCCCCATCAAGCTACCAATGACTTTCTTCACAGAATTGGAAAAAACTACTTTAAAGTTCATATGGAACCAAAAAAGAGCCCGCATTGCCAAGTCAATCCTAAGCCAAAAGAACAAAGCTGGAGGCATCACACTACCTGACTTCAAACTATACTACAAGGCTACAGTAACCAAAACAGCATGGTACTGGTACCAAAACAGAGATATAGATCAATGGAACAGAACAGAGCCCTCAGAAATAATGCCGCATATCTACAACTATCTGATCTTTGACAAACCTGAGAAAAACAAGCAATGGGGAAAGGATTCCCTATTTAATAAATGGTGCTGGGAAAACTGGCTAGCCATATGTAGAAAGCTGAAACTGGATCCCTTCCTTACACCTTATACAAAAATCAATTCAAGATGGATTAAAGATTTAAACATTAGACCTAAAACCATAAAAACCCTAGAAGAAAACCTAGGCATTACCATTCAGGACATAGGCGTGGGCAAGGACTTCATGTCCAAAACACCAAAAGCAATGGCAACAAAAGCCAAAATTGACAAATGGGATCTAATTAAACTAAAGAGCTTCTGCACAGCAAAAGAAACTACCATCAGAGTGAACAGGCAACCTATAAAATGGGAGAAAATTTTTGCAACCTACTCATCTGACAAAGGGCTAATATCCAGAATCTACAATGAACTCAAACAAATTTACAAGAAAAAAACAAACAACCCCATCAAAAAGTGGGCGAAGGACATGAACAGATACTTCTCAAAAGAAGACATTTATGCAGCCAAAAAACACATGAAGAAATGCTCATCATCACTGGCCATCAGAGAAATGCAAATCAAAACCACTATGAGATATCATCTCACACCAGTTAGAATGGCAATCATTAAAAAGTCAGGAAACAACAGGTGCTGGAGAGGATGTGGAGAAATAGGAACACTTTTACACTGTTGGTGGGACTGTAAACTAGTTCAACCATTGTGGAAGTCAGTGTGGCGATTCCTCAGGGATCTAGAACTAGAAATACCATTTGACCCAGCCATCCCATTACTGGGTATATACCCAAAGGACTATAAATCATGCTGCTATAAAGACACATGCACACGTATGTTTATTGCGGCACTATTCACAATAGCAAAGACTTGGAACCAACCCAAATGTCCAACAATGATAGACTGGATTAAGAAAATGTGGCACATATACACCATGGAATACTATGCAGCCATAAAAAATGATGAGTTCATGTCCTTTGTAGGGACATGGATGAAATTGGAAACCATCATTCTCAGTAAACTATCGCAAGAACAAAAAACCAAACACCGCATATTCTCACTCATAGGTGGGAATTGAACAATGAGATCACATGGACACAGGAAGGGGAATATCACACTCTGGGGACTGTGGTGGGGTCGGGGGAGGGGGGAGGGATAGCATTGGGAGATATACCTAATGCTAGATGACACGTTAGTGGGTGCAGCGCACCAGCATGGCACATGTATACATATGTAACTAACCTGCACAATGTGCACATGTACCCTAAAACTTAGAGTATAATAAAAAAAAAAAGAAAAAAAAAAAGAAAAAGACTTAAAAAAAAAAAAAATTCAACACTGCTTCATGTTAAAAACTCTCAACAAACTAGGTATTGTAGGAACATACCTCAAAATAATAAGAGGCATCCATGACAAACTCATGGCCAACATTATACTGAATAGATAAAACCTGGAAGCATTTCCCTTGAAAACTGGCGTTAAGACGAGGATACCCTCTCTCACCACTCCTATTCAACATAGTATTGGAAATCCTAGCCAGAGCAGTCAGGCAAGAGAAAGAAAGAAAGGACATCCAAATAGGAAGAGAGGAAGTCAAACTATCTCTGTTTGCAGATGACATGATTCTATATCTAGAATGGTCTCCACCCAAAAGCTCCTTGAGCTGATAACTTCAGCAAAGTTTCAGGATATAAAATCAATGTACAAAAATTACTAGCATTCCTATACACCACCAATAACCAAACTGAGAGCCAAATCAGACAATCCCATTCACAATTGCCACAAAAAGAATAAAATACCTAGGAATACAGCTAACCAGGGAGGTGAAAGATTTCTACAATGAGAATTATAAAACACTGCTTAAATAAATCAGAGAAGACACAAACAAATGAAAAAACATTCCATGCTCATGGATAGGAAGAATCGTTATCATTAAAATGGCCATATTGGCTAAAGCAATTTACAGATTCAATGCTATTCCTATAAAACTACCAATGACATTCTTCACAGAACTAGATAAAACTATTTTAAAATTCATATGGAACCAAAAAAGGGCCTGAATAGCCAGGGCAATCCTAAGCAAAAAGAACAAAGCTGGAGGCATCACATGAACCCACTTCAAACTATACTACAGGACTACAGGAACTAAAACTGCATGACAGTGGTATAAAAACAGGCACATAGACCAATGGAACAGTATAGAGAACCCAGAAATAAGGCCACACACCTATGACCATCTGATCTTCAACAAAGCTGAAAGAAACAAGCAATGGGGAAAAGACTCACTATTCAATAAATGATGCTGGAATGACTGGCTAGCCATATGCAGAAGATTGAAGCTGTACCCTTTCCTTATACCATATATAAAAATCAACTCAAGATGGATTAAAGACTTAAATGTAAAACCCAAAACTTTAAAAACCCTGGAAGACAACCTAGGCAATACCATCCCAGACATAGGAATGGGCAAAGATTTCATGACAAAGGCACCAAGCAATTGCAACAAAAGCAAAAATTAACTGACAAATGAGATCTAATTAAACTTAAGAGCTTCTGCACAGCAAAAAAAACCAAACAGCCTACAGAACAGGAGAAAATATGTGCAAACTATACATCCAACAAAGGTCTAATATCCGGCATCTATGAGGAACTTGAACAAATTTACAAGAGAAAAACCACCCCATTAAAAAGTGGGCAAAGGACATGAACAGACACTTCTCAAAAGAAGACATACATACATGCTGCCAACAAGCACATAAGAAAGCTCAGTAGCACTGATCATTAGAGAAATGCAAATCAAAACCACAAGGAGATTATCATCTCCCATCAGTCAGAATGGCTATTAATAAAAAGTCAAAAAATAACATACTGGTGAGGTTGTGGACAAAAGGGAACATTTATACACTTTTGGTGGGAGTGTAAATTAGTTCAACAATCGTGGAAGCACTATGGTGATTCCTCAAAGAGCTAAAAGCAAAACTACCATTCATCCCAGCAATCCCATTACTGAATATATACCCCAAGGAACATAAATTATTCCACCATAAAGACACATGCACGTAAATGTTCACTGTAGCACTGTTCACTGTAGCACTATTCACTATAGCCAAGACATGGAATCACCCTATATACCCATCAATGACAGACTGGATAAAGAAAATATGGTATATATATATCATGGAATACTATGCAGCCATAAAAAATAAGATCATGTCTTTTGCAGGAACATGGATGGAGGTGGAGGCTTTTATCCTTAGCAAACACACACAGGAAAAGAAAACCATATATTGCATGTCTTCATTTCTACGTGAGAGCTAAATAGTAAGAACTTATGAACACAAAGAAAAAAACAACTGGGGCTGGTGGGTAGAGGGTGGGAGGAGGGAGAGGAGCAGAAAACGTAACTAATGAGTACTGGGTTTAATACCTGGGAGATGAAATAATCTGTATAACAAATTCCCGTGACACGAGTTTACCTATGTAACAAGCTTTCACATGTACCCTTGAACCTAAAATAAAAGTTAAAAAAAAATCAGTGGTTGCTAGTGGCTGCCAAGAATGAAACCTAAGGTAAACTATGAACTTTAGTTAATAATAATAGTTAATATTGGCTCATCAAATGTAACAAATGTACCACATGAACGCAAGAGTTAATAATAGGGGAAACTGTATGTTGGGGTAAAACGGTATATGTGAACTCTGTACTTTCTGTTCAGTATTTCTGCAAACATAAAACTACCATAAAAATATTAATTTAAAAAACAAAAGATCAACCCAATATATTTAAGAGCATTTCGAGTTTGTTTCTTTTTTTGATTAAAACTGCCACACTCTTACTTCCCCATACCCACTGCCATTTTGTTCTGCTTTTCTGTTAATAATTTTTATTAAAATGTTATTTTTCATCCAGGGTGTCTTCCGGAATAATTCATTCTTGCAACTAGGGGTATATTATTCTTGTAAGAAGTAGGAAAATATTTCTTTTATTTATTAATCCAATCAAAAATGATGAGTGCTAAACTAAAATTCCCAACCAAAATTCCAAAGATGAGCAAAACGAATGCCTGTGGAAATAAGAAAAAAGATAAAAGATAAGAAAGATAAAAGAAAAAAGATAAAAAAATACAATTGGATTATTTGTTAAATCTCTACTCTCTGCAATAATGTATTCTATATTTTAAAATATATTGACTTTCTTGATGCAGGTAAAATAATATAAACTGACAAACTATTTCTTAAAATAGAAGTCTTGAAAGAAAGAAACAAAAACAACCTACCCCAAGCTTTTTCCATGACAGAAAATCCTCTCTGCTAAGTTTAAGATAAAATAGTCCTGGGAATATAAAAATCAAACATGTTGATGTACTGGCACCTTTAAAGTGGAGGGAAAAAAAAGAGAGGATATTGCTGGATTCAGATGTGAGGCTGGGTAGCAATTTTATCAATTTTATTATGTGAACTTTTTGAAACAGAAAACTTACCAACTACACCAAATACATTTCTAATGTCAGGAACATATATTGCAAGTAAAACGATGATAATATTGAGTGCTAGAGTGATCAAAAAATGGCGAATCCATGAGAATGGAAAATTGGAGAAAAACATCATTGTTACAGCTTTTCTGGCCTGTATTACAGAAAAATAAACATATAGCGAAGAGGAAATGTCAAAGTCCAGATATTTGCTGAGAGAAACATATACAACAACCATGATATTTTTGCCTCCTACATCATTTAGATTTCAAAAATACAGCATAAACTATTATTATAAAGTATTTATACACATAAACTGTTTATATACTAACCCTTTCTGTGTAAGCTTCATAAAAATACTTAGCTTTAATGCTAGAAAAAGTTTTCACATGCAATTTTTTTAGGTTGCATAATTTTTAAAATTACCAACAATAAAAATATGAAAAAAGTCTCAAAGAATGATTTTCATTAAATGCAACAGATTAAAAAAACAGACAATTTATAATAGAAAAAGAAATCATGCCATGGGAAAGAAATACCACTTACTATTTTATTTTATATGTTTCACAGCCTGTAAATATGAAAAAATAGTTCACTACACTTCCCATTGCTAAGAGCACAGCAGGCGGTCACATGCCAAAAAATTTATCCAGTCCCTGCTGTAATCTTGGCACTGCAGCCCACACAGGGAGGAGGCTTGAAGCCCCAGCTCTTACAAAACTCAGCATTAGAGATTCAAGACATCCATGCAGATGCATTTATACCCAAAGCCTTTGTTCCCTTTTTCTCAGAAATTCTTAAGATTCTCAAGTATAGCAACCAGATGCAATGAAAATCTGTTTTGCCCCTTAAATTACAATTCTAGAGCAAATAAAATATTTTCACCAAGATTGAACTAGAATGCTTATGTGAAAATAAATTTACAATAAACCCAGAAGGAGCTTATTTTTCCTGACTTGACTTTTTCCTCTTCATGCACATTTTTTTGAAAACAGAATACAGAATTAAAGGGGGGAAAAACCCAAAACTTTAGAAGAACTATAGTTTCTAAATTGGAAACAATGCTGTGGGAGAACGTAAATCTAAACTAAATCTCAAAAAGCACAAATTAGCTTAGTGGCTCACTGTTATTTTTATGCTTTTACGGGGCCATATGCAAGTATGAAGTCTTTGATCAATTACTTGACAAGTGAATAAGATATACAAGACTAGATGTGATTCAAACATTCTATTCTGCAAAGAATTAGTGTTTCCCTATTAGGAAGCGTCTATACTAGGCAACAAAACCCTTTAAGAGTACTTACAGGGAAGTGGATTAGAGGGACTGTCAAAAGCACAGCAAATAGTATGCATAACTTCACAGTCATGACAACAACATCATGTGATAAGTATTTACTATAACCTTTTAGTAATTCTGACTCCACTTTGTCTGTAAATAAAATAATAAGGATCACATTATAAAGTACTAAGGTATCAATAGTAACAAAATTGTTTTCCTTTGCACTAATGGATGATAACAGATTTTAGATTCCCATTACCAAATCCTGGCCTTTCCCCTAGCCTATGAAACACAGAGACATTAATTAAATATCTTCTTGAAACCTAACACCCTTTTTCCTTTAATAAAAACCAGAATAAGCAGAACCTCTCAAATTATGACAATGAATATGTATACTAAATTATCTCTTTGGAACTTTTCCATAATCTAAGGGTTTGAACATTTGTGCTGTTTGTTTATAAAGTGCTTTCACACGTGTTGTTGAATTTAGTCCCCATGATAACAATATTAATACGCAGGTAGGTCCAAAAGTGTTAAATGATTTGCCTAAGATCACATAACACAAAGGGGCAGTGCCATACACCTACTTCTTTTTGGTGCTAGAGACAGCATCTTTTCCTCAATACCACAACGTTTTCTAGAATCTCAGAGCTTGGTGCATGTTACGTTTCATCTGTGGATTCATGTTTTATGAAAAAAAGAGAAGTGTTAGGGAAATGTCTTACTTAGTAGGCCAGTGTGTGGTGGTCAGCAATAGGATTTATACATGCCGACCAAGCTTTGCTCCAGTGTTCTTGCATTCTCACAATGTCTCCCTAACCTCAACCCAGACAAGGGGAAAGAAGACTGAGGGTGCTCAGAAACACTGGATATCAGTGTTTTGTGGGAAAATATCAGTTTGTACTTAAAATAGAATGGTGCCTTTTAATTTGAGAGTGTTTCAGAAAGGATACTTTGAGGGAAACCAAAAACAAAAGGAAACATACCTCTGTTCTCAGGGAACTTTAAGAAGAGATGAGATGAATACACATAGCTATGATAGAAAGTGTGATATACACATGTAAGTGGCCAGAGAGTTCTAAACAAGAGCTATGGAGATTCTAAACTGTGATGACATAGAACATGTTCAAACCCCACCAGTAACTAGCAACTTACACTGAGTCTCTCAGTTCCTACATCTTTAAAATGGGGATGGCCATATACTAAACTATAGGGTTACTGAGAACATTACATGAGTCAATGAATGTGTGCTGATGTTCAAAGATGTGGGGGAAGAGATTCTCTAGAAGCAAGGAGCAGCACAAACAAAGCAAAGGGAATGTGCATCTGAGAAAATAAGTGGTCTAGTAAGTACTACAGTGGATGAAACAGTGTGTGGGTGATAGGGCTGGAAATGCATTTCAGACCTAGTAATACAGTTCTGCATGAGATGTGGCCTCAACCTGGTAGGCCACAGAAATGCAATAATGACTTACAAAGAACAGTGTATTATGATCTGAACTAAAGCAGGAGTACGGATTGGAAGAAAAAGAGACCCCAAACAGGCATAACAGCTACTGTTACAATCACTGAGAGGTAAAGAGAATCTGAACTAGACTAGTGATAATGGAAACAGGAGAGAAATGAATTGTCCAAAGTATCAAAAACATACTTTACACAATGTGGGATTTGGACTAAGTAGGAGACTAAGAAGAGCCAGGAAATCTGGATTCTATTTCCAAATCTGTGAGATACTTGTGAGTCTTTGGAGAAATATGGCAAACTATTTTATTTCCATTTTCTGAATCATAAAATGAGCTATTAACACTTCTTGCTTAACAACCTCATAGACTTTTTAAATGGCCTGGTTATTATGCAACATTTGGGCACTGGCCTGGCTCACCAGAGGAACCCTTTTCTCTTCCTTTCACAGCTGTAATCAGAGCAAGTATCATTAATCTAGGTACATACCTATAAGTCCCTTTAATCTGACAAATTTAGAAATTAAACTTTAGGAGCTCTGGATAAAAGGATCCAAAGCAGCTCCTGAATCTTGAAGAACTAGATTTATTACAAATTCAAAATAGATGTCACATGTCCACTTTCTACTTTCCCAGGATGAAAACACTTCTTCTGAGCCAGTCACTCTGTGTTCTTAACTGAGCCATAACATATGTGAGGGATAGAGTGGTGCATGCTTCCCTGGATTCAGACAAATCTCTACAAATCTCAGAAAGGGCCTAATGGTGATCTCTGCAAGTTATATATGCCATTGAAGTCAGGAGGCTGTCCTGTTTAATACACATTGTCAAACAGGGTATTAAGTTTACAAAGATTATCACAAAGTAGCAGAAATAACACTGGATTAGTATTCAGGAAACCTGCCTTTAATTCTGTGACAGGTCACTTCACCTCTCTGGGCTTTAGTTGTTCATCTGTAAAATGAATTGGAAGCCTTAAGTTGAGGCTAGCCCTTATAAGATCTCAGGTTCAACCAGCAATTTCTTCCTATGACACAAAGCTCCTGTTATCCTGGTAGAAAGATATGATCAAAGGTTTTTCTTGGTTATGATTCACAATCCAAGAGCAAATCAATATCTGCCTCTTCTGTCTTTGGAGAAGAACTTACTACTTTTGTATCATTTATTCTATTTATGTATGTATGTATGTATGTATGTATGTATGTATGTATGTATGTATGTATGTATCTATCTATCTATCTATCTAATCTATCATCTATTCATCCACCCATCTATCTGCCTACCCACCTACCTATTAATCAATCATATACCTACCTACCATGTGATTTTCTTAGATGTGTATTTCTCTATTATATAAAATTTGCATACTCTGAAGAATTTGCATTAGTGGAGAAGAGATTAAATCAGAGACAACATAATGGTTTTACTTGATATTAGACAAATCCCTGTCTAGGAAACATGCCATCTACATGATGAAAACCTTTAGCCTTTGTGTTCAAGCAGCAATGTTAGATAGATAGATTATACATAGATACATACATAGATAGATGCCTAGAGCTTAAGTGAGTCATATTTTTCTAAAAGATCACCTTAACAAAAACTTGGAATAAAGGAAATCTGGCTTCTATAGCACAATTTCTGAGTAGACAACACAGTAATAAAGGCATTGGCTTTGGAGAGAGACAAAACTAGATTCAAATCCCAATTCCACTATTAACTGGCTTCAAGTATCTGGTCTAATTACTCAACCTAAATGAACCTACACTGAGCTTGCAGAATTGTTATAAGGATTAAGTTAGGGAGTATATATAAAATACCTGACACTGTCTTAAATGTTAGCTCAATAAATGTATTAGCTTCCATCCTTCCTCCACATCCCTTTCAATCTAATACAGCTACAATTTAATACAGTTTCTAAGCACCTAATGGTGATTCATCTAACAATTTCTCAGCCAGCCTGGATATTGGCAAGCCATCTGAGGTTTCTTCCAGATAGTTCTATTTATCCATAGGGAGAAGAAGGAGGTCAGTTTTTTTGGACTTTTTCTTATTGCTGAAGATCCCTAAATATAATAGTGTTTGTGCCAGGTAGCAATTTTAATAAAAGAAATATATAGCTATTCCACTATACAAAATATTTTTGGATCCCAAGAGACCCTGTTACAGTATCTTATTGACACAGAAAAGTCTTATTGAGTTCAAGTCTGTATAAAAACTAACAAACCCAACATCCAAAAATAAAGTTTATATATTTAAGTAATTTTGTTTTATTAATGATGATCAGAAAAGCTTGACAATCTGTTTTAACTTTCTTTGTAGCGTCTCTAGCAGGGCACCATGCTCACATTGGAAATAATGCTTTTCCTGATGGTGTACACAGAACTTTACTTTTTCTTGAGGTTCTTATCAGAAGAGGAAAAAAAGTCAACATACAAAGCAGACAGTTTTTGCAAAAGAAATAAAACACAATTTTATTTTTGTTGCATAAATTTAAAAGAACCTGTAAAAATAATTAAGGAGGAAGGTCATGGTGCATCATAGAATGCACATCTGCTGAATCCTGTGATAATTAGATCTGAAGGCAGAGATGTCTGACATCTAAGTATACAGATATAGTTCTGTGTAAAACCCTTTCCTTTCTCAACTTGTTCTTTTGCAATTAAGATGACTGACTCACCCAACCCCCACACTTCTGAATTAGACTAATATATTGAATTCAAAATTTAAGAAAAACAGAATCATTAAAATTGCACATTTTTTCTTATAGAAAGAATCATGTCCCTAAGCCTGAAGTTTTACTTAAGTGTTTAAGAAAATTTTCATAAGAAGTCATTAATCTTAAACCTGAACTACCTTTCTAAAAGAAAGATAATCCAATTGTTTAGGCCTCAAGAGCCACCACAGTACTGCATTGTAATTTGGTGATCTGAGCAAATTAACTTAGTAATAAAAGGCATAGGTAAAGTCTATAGATTGGCGTGAGGCCATCTATGTAACTATTATTTTGTCATCTATAATTTTAAAATGTACTTACCATAAAAAGTGAGGTACCCAAAGAGTGCAGATATAAAATAAATGAGAAAACTTAAAGCAATTGCTGTATTGGTAACATTCTGCATTCTTTTCTTTGAAGGACTAAAAGACAAAAATGACAAAGGTAGAATAAGTGATCTGAATTATATGTAAAGAAACAAGTATGTCCTAAGCTGGTCGAGAGAATTCCTCATTCAAGAACAACTCCATCAATAACTATACACTAGAAGTCCTCATTCGAAATTAGTACACAAAGATTACACTTCTTCCTTTTTTTTTTTTTGAGACAGAGTCTTGCTCTGTCGCCCAGGCTGGAATACAGTAGTGTGATCTCGGCTCACTGTAACCTCCACCTCCTGGGTTCAAGCGATTCTCCTGCCTCAGCCTCACAAGTAGCTGGGATTACAGGTGCCCGCCACCACGTCCGGCTATTTTTTTTGTATTTTTAGTAGAGACGGGGTTTCACCATGTTGGCCAGGCTGGTCTTGAACTCCTGACCTCAGGTGACCCGCCTGCCTCGGCCTCCCAAAGTGCTGGGATTACAGGCCAGCCTCAAAGATTACACTTCTAGGAAACATTCTTAACTTGGACAGAACTAACTCTTGTTTGTTTTGTTTTAAACTAACACTTAGGATCCACTGATGAGAGGAAAGGATTAATAAAAGAGGATGTCATTCAATCCGAAAGCCTTAGAGGTAAAAAGATACACAATATATTTAAAATATTCCAGGATTCTACAGTACCTTTGAAGTTCACAGTATATGGGCAATATTGAGGTATGGCAGAGAAATGAAAAAGCCATGGTTGGTAAGGCATAAGCACTCTGAAAAAAATTTTAAAGAGACAAAATTATTAAATGCCACTCTACTGAAACCATTATTTCATTTGACAACAAACTCAGTTCTTTAAAAAATCAATTTGATTACATTTATTTCATCTTTAATGAGTCTTCTCTTTATAAAATAAGAATTTTTTAAAAGAGAAAAACACTTGTGATCCAGCAAATATTTTATTTGATAGTGGGCTTGCCTGTACTAGCCAGAATATTTTTTATTTGGCTGCCCATACCATGCTGCTTTTACTACAATCACTACTTCTACATTATCTGGATAAGATTTTAAAAATTACATAAGATAAATAATATTTAAATGAGATAAAAATAACATTTTAGAAATGCTCTTTTTTAATTCTCTGTCTTCTAAATGTACGCACAATTTAAATGTATCTTATTACTCTAAGCAGCACTAATAGTTAATGCTCTTGAACCTGCTTTCATGAACTCAATCCAAGGGAATACTGAAAATATTAATCACATTTTAATATTGCCAGCATCTTTGATTAGGATCTCTTTCAATGGGAATGAATATCATTTATTCTAGACCTACAAACTCTTAAGAGATCCAATGTAATATACAAATATAAGGTTTTGTTTTGTTTTTATTATTAGAATACTTAAGAGTCAGAGTAAAGCAAAAAAAGTTACCATTTAAGTGAAAATACCATCTTTACCAAATAGACGATGGTGATCTATTTTCTCCTTTCTGCTCTAAAAAAATTTCCACTTAACTAACTTCAGGCTCTTAAACAAAAGAAATTCCAGAAATGAAGACCTATCTTGGGACATAATGCCTAGAGTCTTAAAATATCTGAAGGGGGTTAGGAGAGAGGAAGCTGTAGTGTTTCCTGAGGCTGGACTAGGAAAATGAGAGTTTAATTCACAAATTCTCCATTTCATATATTGCTCAGTTTCCTGGCTTGTCAATTATCCTACCTAGATCTTTACGGCACCTGGAGGTCTTTACCATGTAAAAGATGTGGTAATCTCCCTTTTGGGACCAGAGAGATATTTCTCATTTAAAAACTAGAGATAAAAAGGAAAATTCTGCATGGTGGAGTAACCAAGCTAACATTCTACACTAATAGAGTTTTACATGAGCAGGGGGGATTCTAGCATCTGGGAACTATACAAAATAGCATTTCAGCAGAGTCAGAAAGTATAGACAAATAAGCCTGCAGCAACAGGGAAGACTTTGAGCTCTTCTAGAGTGGTAAAGCAGAGACCATCCATGTCACAGTTCTTGTCTCCTCTGCTGATGCTCAGGGGCTCTTACAGGCATTTCCAGTATCCTATGGCTTTTAGGGAAGGCAAAGGGACTTGGTCTCCTAGTCTCTACTCCTGGCATCATGAATTTCAACTTTGGAATGTCGGCCAGAAGATATATTGGCAGTGCTCAATCCCTAGTCCAATGATGAGGCTGTTTAGCTACAGACCAAGGTTCTACTCACAGGGGAAGAGTTTTTGATATAATTGGCTATTTAGCTTTACAAGTGCAGAGGGCAACAGGAAGTTGGTATACACAGAGGACCTTATTGGCCAGACCAGACATTCGGTAAATCTGTTCTTTCAGGCAGAGGCCCATTTAAAACAGGCTCCATTCAAAGGCATACCAGGAAAAAAAAAAAAAAAAAAAAAAAGGTGGCTGTTTCATAATAGGCCACCCTGTGTTAAATAATAGTAGTCTTCTGGTAGGCAATCCTATACTTAGCACTTTCATGAAAATTAATTAGTCACAGGTACAAAGACCTAAGAGACCCTGTTACACAAACCTCTTAAAACTTGAAATGTGAAAAATCAACTAAAAGTATCTGTTAATAACTTACACACCTCTTTGGAGAAATGAAAGAGCTTTGGCTTACAATCATCTGTAACATTTGAAATCTGTTTAAGAGCATTGAGGGGAAAAAGAGAAACCAACAGCCATTAAATTTCAGAATATATCAATAAAAATGATGAATTTATTATTACTAGGCTTTCAAATGAAAGTATTTCAAAACAAAGTTCTAAAATGCAATATAGCCATTACTTTTTCATCAATCAGAAAAGAATCATTAGTCTTTCTTTTCTTTTTAGTTAAAATAAAAAGGAAGAAACTGAAAAGAAAATATAAGCTATTACCTGGAAACCTTTCTCTACATAATTTAATGTCAGAGGACAAGGGATGGACCATTTTTTAATTATTACCTAAAAAAGTAAACAGAATCAGCACTCAGATCATTTCTTATAAAATTAATAAGAAACTGAATTGAAATAGGTCAGTATCATTTCAATTAAATAAGATGCTAATAGAAGAGTCTCTGCTTCTGTGACTTTTCCCGGTTAGAATGGGGTCAACATTTAACATGGTCACCTGTGGTAGGGAGGCGGTTGGAGACTGCAGGGTGTTAAGTAGAGATCTCCCCCATTAAAGACTAAGGGTACTCCTGTGTCAACTTTCAAAATTCCAACAGCATCAAGGCATTTTTTTTTAAGTGCAACTCAAAACAGGAACATGATGTTTTCAGTGACTGTCACACAGGAATATGGTTATTTGTAGAGTAGGTATTAGTGAATAGAGAAACATTTAACAGCAGTTTATGGAAAGGCCACAGGAAGAAATAAGTACAGACTTTATACTCAGAAGGAGCTCAGGGATTTCTGATGTACACATTAAGTGCTGCCCCTCCTTACTTTTACAGATCTGAATTATTTTTGGTTAATGTGGAGAAAGCTGGCTGGAATAGGAGCATATAGCTAGGGAACTCCAGCTGGTAAAAACAAACAAACAAACAAAAAAAACATTAAAAGAAATCCAGAGGGATGCTGTTTCCCAGAATTAATCAATGAAAATGTTTCATGTTTTTACTCTTAATTGTGGCCATCCTGTTATCAGACCTATAGCTGTGGCTCTGTCAATATTACCATTGTTGCTGTTGTTTCAGGGCACATAATTACTCTGTAAATGTTTGCTCCAGGGTGAATCCCAGTGCACAAAAGGACAAGAAAGAATAAAGGAAGTATTTGTTCTTTGTAGGAGACCAATATGTAAACACAATTTCTATTCCTACTTGGTATTTACCTAGTTTTGGATTTTGACTAATTTAATCAAAATTTTACACAGTGATAAAACAAATATAAGGAAAACATATACTTTTAGGATTAAGTTAATGAGTGAACTAAAGAATCACTCTTAATTAAAAACCTCACCAAGAAAAAAATTACTGTAGAAGGATAAACTAGACAAGCTGCTTTGACATTTCTAGGTAAGTTTTCAATATGACATAAAATGAAACGGTCAACTTACCAAAAGGAAATAACAAAATCAAAAGCAATAATCTCACCATCATTATCTTTATAGGTTTTCAAAGAAAAACAACAACAACAAAAAAAAACGATGAGGATGAGGTGAGGGTGAAACTGCTCCAAATTCAGTTTCTTTTCTTGTTTTTTTTAAGACAGGGTCTCACTCTGTCACCCAGCCTGGAGTGCAGTAACACAATCTCAGCTCACTGCAACCTCCACCTCCCAGGCTCAAACCATCCTTCCACCTCAGCCTCCCGAGTGCCTGGGACTACAGGTGTGTGGCCATCACACCCAGCTAATTTTTGTGTTTTTTGTAGAGAATAGATTTTGCCATGTTGCCCAGGCTGGTCTCAAACTCCTAGGCTCAAGTAATCCGCCTGTCCCAGGCTCCCAAAGTGTGGGATTACAGGCGTGAGCCACTGCACAGGCCCAAATTCAGTTTCTTATATTTTCCCCTAACTAACAGTGGTAGTGTTGGCAGAAAAAATCATTTACTGAGGACTTGCTGTGCACCAGGTACCTAGATAAACTCTGTATGTGAGCTGCCTCATTTATCAGTTGTTATTTCTTAAGCTTTCAAATCAAAATATTTCAAAGCAATGCTCCAAAGTGCAATATTATCATTAATTTTTATTAATTTGAAAAAAATAAGAAGTAGCCTGATTTTATATTAATAGACAGTTCAGTTACTACAGCTAATTTCTCTGCAAAGATCCATCCCAACTCCAAGCCTGTATGGTGGTATGGGGTGGATAGAGATGATGTCCCACAAAGCAGAAGTACAGAACGGGAGTGAAACGAGACCCAACAACAGAGAGGAAAGATTAACAGGAAGTCCTTGCTTAGGTTGGTAAGAAGGTAAGTCTTGGGGTTGGAATGACAAAGGGAAAAAGGAGACTAAGTATTAAAAATATTTGTTCACTTGCACAAAAGGCCTCCCTTCCTTCTCTCTGCTCTAAGCCCTTTGCTTCTTTTGTGGCTCAACTCAAGTTGTATTTCCTCTAAAATCCTTCTTTACTCTAGCTCTCAGTGAGCCTTCTCTCCTCTCAACTCTTGAGACTCTTATTCTGAAGCAAATATATCAATACTTATTTATATATTGCACACACTGTTCTCCATGTTTGAAAAGAAATTTATCTCCCCTACTAGATTGACAGATCCTTAAGACTAGTGTCCAGGTTAAATTTCCACATCCTAAAATGCCTAACATAGTGTTCAGTAGAAGCAAAGCTTCTGACTAAAAACCATTTAAATAATTCTCTATTTCAGGCCAGTGCAGTGGCTCACGCCTATAATCTCAGCACTTTGGGAGGCCAAGGTGGGAGGATCACTTGAACATAGGAGTTCAAGGCTAGCCTGGGCAACATAATGGGACTCTGTCTCTACCAACATTTAAAAAAAAATTTATCTGGCCAGGCGCGGTGGCTCACACCTGTAATCCCAGCACTTTGGGAGGCCCAGGCGGGCGGATCATGAGGTCTGGAGATCGAGACCATCCTGGCTAACACGGTCAAACCCTGTCTCTACTAAAAATACAAAAAATTAGCCAGGCGTGGTGGCGGGTGCCTATGGTTCCAGCTACTCGTGAGGCTGAGGCAAGAGAATGCTGTGAACCTGGGAGGCGGAGCTTGCAGTGAGCCGAGATGGCGCCACTGCACTCCAGCCTGGGTGACAGAGTGAGACTCCATCTCAAAAAAAAAAAAAAAAAAATTATCCAGGCGTGGTGGTATGCAGCTGTAGTTCTAGTGATTCAGGAAGCTGAGGCAGAAGAATCACCTAAGCCCGGCAGTTTGAGTCTGCAGTGAGCTATGATCATGCCACTGCACTCCAGTCTGGGTGACTGGAGAGAGTGAGATTCTGTCTCTTAAAAAAAAAAGTTGTCTAACTGGATTACCGACGTATTAAAACGTTGCTTAGAATACTAATCTGTACTTAAGATAGAACTTTTAGAACGAATGGTAATCCGCTTGTGCTCTAAAATACACCAAAAAAAAAGTAAATTTACCAAAAAAAGGTAAATCCATCTTGATGGTATCATTCTGAGACAGATATAATTTATTTTTAAAATTGCAAAATATTTTAGAGGGGGCAAAAATTTAGGTTAAATTTTTTTAATGAAAATACAGATCTGGGAGAACAGATAAAATATAGGTTTTAGTTTATATTATTCAAAGAATATAAGAAAATAATAGTTCCTGAACTGATTTTTAAAAAATATGATATAAATGCTATACATATTTACAAACACATATTGACAAGAATAATAAATGAAAAACTGGTATCCTTCCAAAATTCTGGGTTAATATATATACGTTTCCTTTTCCTAACCACTATGTATTTTAAAAGATAACATTCAGAGAATCTAAAATAAATATGGTGGCTGGGCACGGTGGCTCACGCCTGTAATCCCAGCACTTTGGGAGGCCGAGGTGGGTGGATCACTTGAGGTCAGGAGTTCAAGACTTGCCTGGCTAACATGGTGAAACACCATCTCTACTAAAAATACAAAAAAAAAAAAAAAAAATTAGCATGCACCTGAAATCCCAGCTACTTGGGAGGCTGAGTCAGGAGAATTGCTTGAACCCAGGAGATGTAAGTCACAGTGAACTGAGATCGTGCCACTGCACTCCACCCTGGGTGACAGAGCAAAACTCTGTCTCAAAATAAATAAATAAATAAATAATAAAATAAACATGCCAATTAAAAAGAGTATTTAAAAAAGCATACAGAGTATTCTTCATTGCCCCACTGTAGATTAAACTGTGCTCACAGGTAAAAATCTGAGCAGATGGTTTATAAGGCATTACAATAAATGTAGAATATGGGTATTATTTCCATATGGCTGCTACATTAGAAATCTGCATTGAATTAAAGAGTATCTGTCATGACAGAAACAAAACTACAGTAGACATATCATATCAATACATTTAACCTGCTTTAAGCTATTGGCTATGAAAACTAAATTACTCCTATCTATGCAATGATTGCATTGCCAATTATCTGTGAGAGAAAAATTCAATATGTTATCTATACTGATTCTCTTTAATATCCATACATTCATTTGCATATGTAGGCCACTTCTAACCACACTTCTCAACAATCAAATGATGATGGAAATATTTAGTTTTTTTCTTTTTCAATATGGAGCCTACAAAGTGTATGTTCAATTCACTTATCTGTAAGATATAAGTCAGACAACTGGGGAGAGAAGAAGAGGAATGATTTTAATGTTGTTAAATTCAACAAATGATTAAATGTAAACACTGTTAAATGTTTTTAGTTTTAAGAGCATTCAATAGAGAATAAATGCTTATATATACTAAAATCAGAGTCACTTCCACTTTGTTTAAATAATTTAAAGTTATTTTATCCCTGTGTCTCAGAAGATAGCTTAGCCTAAGTTAAATGCACCCTAGGTTGTTTTGACAGCTTTGAAATCTGGATCTTTAATATGGCTTAACTACTGATGTGCTGTTCTGCTCTTACATATGGCTGTTTCTTTCATGCATTTTCAAAAACAAGAAAGAGTTGAACCAAGCTTATGAAAAGCTCATTTGGACATGTATATTCTTGGAAAGTTAAAAATGTTTATTTCTACTTAAGGTTTGACATTTAGATACTGATTATGGAATAAACTGCTATACAAAGAAAAAAGACTTAAAAAATTTCACACAAAGGTACTATCTTTAGAATGTTAAGATGTTTTAGAAGAATTAGAAGGAAATAAATTTAAATTCTTATCTTTATATTATTTTATAATATCAAAATAAGTTAAATTTACCATCTGATATTTTTATATAATAAAAATGAGCTAATTAAAAAATAAGGAATATATCCCACATGTGAAGAAAAATATTTGTAGTAGTGTTTTTATGAGAATTTATCTATGCTGAATAAACCAGACAAAATAGAATTCAGTCAACCCAGTTCTTACTAGATCTCCTCAATGTAGTACCAGAAGCTCTGTTTTTTTATTAATGGAATAAAGTTTCAAAATTAAGATGACTAGTCTCAAACAGATTTTACAGATTAGAACCAGACTGATTCTTCATACAGTATGGTACAGGAATAAATTTACACACCTACACAAAGAATTACACTCCATCTAGGATTTTAACAGAATTGGCACGCTCTCCTCTCTAGTTAACCACAAGAAATGCTGAATTTGAAATGCTGTTCTAGCTAAGCCTCTTCAAAATAGATACAATGAAGGAAATAATTTAATGGAACAAAAGTGCTTTTAATAACACAGTGAAATAAAATGAGATACCCTTCCCAACACAAAACAGTTAAAAGTAAAAAAGACTAACACAATGAGTCCAATTTTAGTGAGGAGATAAGCAATGTATTATATTTTAAACTTACCACAAGAGCAAAGAACATCATAAAGAAAAATGATAAACTACTTGTGTAGCCAAGAAAGCCTGTAAAATAACAGTAAAATAAAAAGCAATTTATAAGGAAAGCGATTTTAACGTACAACTAAAGCTATACATCTTAGGCATGTTTTCTATTATAGTGGTTGGTATCTGGGGCTTAGGGCTCAGAATAACAACATTCCAACTATCTGTCACAGATCATTTATGTAGCTCTGTACAGCAGAATTGGAACTGGCTTACCACTAATGGTACACTGTAAGGAAAGGCTGCTCTTTAATGTTCCGCTGTAAAGATTTTATTTTAGTGGGGCAGACAAAATACTACTGCAAACCAAGTAATAGGTTAACTAGGCAGGGCTGAAGGCTGAACAACCTAAAATAAGGCCAAGTTTAAAATTATACACAACCACCATCCTTCTGCCAAAAATGTGGTACTGTGAAATTTTAAAGCCCCTTAATATTTGTCTCTCTTTCCCTCCCTCCCTTCTTTCCTTTTTCTAAACAAATAATGTGCTCTATAAAGACTTACCTATTTTGGGAAGAAGTGCAAGAGGGAACACAATGCCAACACATATGATTATTAGTAGTGTTTGTCCATCAAGATACCAATATCTATTATAAAAAAAGTTCTACTTTAGGCATGGGACTCCAGTGTTTGTTCTGACACACACACACACACACACACACACACACACACACACACACACACAGAGTTATAACCATTACAACCAGCTATTAGGAAAAGCCTACTTCCTTTCATTAAAATGTTCTTGTGGGATCCTATTTTTCTTATTAATGAATTGACATTTAGAAATGAATAAAAACAAAGAGATGCCATTTCCAACTACTGAATTAATAAATATTTAAAAATAAGATAATAGTCAACATTAGTGAGGAGTGATGAGGTGTGTAAAAAGCTGGTGAAAATGCAAATTATATAAATTACCTTTCTGGAAAGCAATTTGGCAATAGATATAAAGAATTTTCAAATAATTATATACTTGAAAACACTTATAAAAGACTATTAAAAATAATAAGAACATACACTTTTTGTAAATTTTTATTTTATTTAAGTTCCGTAGAACATGTGCAGAATGTGCAGGCTTGTTACGTAGGTATACATGTGCCATGGTGGTATGCTGCACCTATCAACCCGTCATCTAGGTTTTAAGCCCTGCATGCATTAGGTATTTGTCCTAATGCTCCCCCTCCCCTTGCCCCCACCCACCAACAGGCCCCAGTCTGTGATGTTCCCCTCCCTGTGTTCATGTGCTCTCATTGCTCAACTCTCACTTACGAGTGAGAACATGCGGTGTTTGGTTTTCTGTTCCTGAAGAACAAAGACTTTTATAAAAAGATGTTTACTGAAAACATTTAAAATAATAAAAATTGAAAACAAACCTCCAAGACCATGATAATTTTGAAATAACAATATACTGAATATTCAGTAAACATCATATATTTGTGTGTATATAGCATGATAATTTTGAGGAAAAACATGGATGCATTAAAAATGGAAAGGAACTAAAATATATTGATAGCCATTATCTCTGGGTGGTAAAATAATAGGTCATTTTTCTTCTTTATAGTTTTCTATATACATTTTTCCAAATTTCAGGAAAGGGCATTAATCACCAATTGTAAAATATTAAAATTTTCATATAAAGGCATTAGAATACAGAATGAGAAAAAGGTAGGTTAACGTGATTTTGTATTTGTTCATTGAAAAAAACAAAACTGGATGCACATATAAAGCCAGAAGGATATACTTAAAATACCAAAAAGTAGATATTTTTATGTGATAGCAATATGAGCAATATGTGAGATACATATGTAGACATTTTTAAAAGTTAAAGTTAATTCCCAAGACCTCAATAGATTTGTATGCAAAGGAGAAACAATTCATGAAAGAAATACAACTAGTAAATACACATGAAGAAAATCCAATCACTGGTGCTAATTAAAGAAATAATGAGACTGTTTCAATTAATCTAGCAAAATTAGTAAACAAAAATATTCAAGGATGTGGCACAACTGGACTTCATACATTGCTAGTGATCGTGCCAATTAGTACTATCTCTTGGAAAAACAATGATTATATGTAGCAAGAGCAATAAAAATGTAGTGGCAATCTAAGAAAATAAAATAGAGAAAATTCTATGTATGTGAAGCTGTTGAATATATTATTATAATATTGAGAAGCTGGAGGAAAACTCTATATACCCAACATTTGAAAATATTTAGAACAGCATACTCAATGGAATGTTACGTGGCTTTAAGAAAAAACACAATGAATAAAATGGAAAATGATGATGATATAAATATAATTATTAACTATAGTTTTGAAAGCTTTTGCGAAAAATTCAAAAGAATTAAAAGGACAGTGACTAGGTTAGAGATGTTATGCATGATTTTTCTTTGCTTTTTTTTCTCAATTTTCTTTATCGTAGCTGTCAGATATTTACACTTAAGTGTATACACATACATACACACGCACAATAGTAACAAAGTAAAACTTATGCAAAAATGGGAGCTTGGGGCATCAAAGACCAATAGGGACTTTTTCAAATTGTTTGGTAGATAATCTCAAAATTCCCACTTTGCAATAACGCATCCTCTTTCATTCTCTGCCAGATACCAGTCTCCCACTGCCATGTTAAATTAGGCAAAGGTCTTCTACATGGATTTCAACCAGTGGCTTCTAACATGAACTTAATTGTTACTGTTGGGTGCTGACAACTTCCTCTTTAACAGAACAAGAGAAGGAGCAGCTGCAGAAACAGCACCATGATGACACTTTTCCCTTCTCCACCCTAATTTGTATCATTAGGAAATACATATGCCAGAAACTATAACCTATGCATAAGTATTTACAGCTTTAGTGGACCTGAAGCTTTGCTCTCTCCATTTGCACATGCCCCTCAATTCCTGGTATGCAGGAAGTACTAAAAGAGTACACATATCAATAATACAAAAATGATACTCAACGTGTTTATCTTCTAGTCACTCTTGAGTAAGAATCAAAACAGAAACTTCAAAAGATCTTTCATTGAGGAACACCTGGCAACCAAATTTCTGAAGCTGGCAAAAGGCCCAGGGCTCTATGTCTGAAATGTGTTTCCTTCTGGGACCCAATGTTAGACCCAGACAGTTGCAGTGCCAGGAGGAAAAATGCCCAAAGGAGTACCAAAGGAGATTCCATCTGTTAGTTTTGCTGTCTCTCGTAGATAACAATACCGCATTATACACTTGAAAATCTGTTGAGAGTGCAGATTTCATGTCAAGTGTTCTTACCGTAATAAAATAAAACAAAAAATTATTATAAGCCAATTTCACTCTTTAAAAGAAAAAAAAATGTCACGAAGCTAAAGTTGTACAAAAGGGAGCATTTAATCCCCAGGACCAGGACTCTTTTCTCTTGCACAGGAATAAAGGAACACTTTTTGAAATTCTGTACACCAGTTACTTTATACTATTTCAGATCACAATTCATTTATGTCCATAAAAGTCATATAACTGACCAAAGCACTGAACTGTGGGACTGAAGATAACTTTACCTCCTCCCAGCAGTAACTCAGAATCACAGTTATGGAATGTTAGAGCTGGAAGAGACCTTAGAGATCATCTGGCTCAACAACTTCATTTTATATGTCTGTAAAATCAGCAAAAGGAAGGTGACAGTAGCAATGGAAATACTTTCAGATACTACCTCATTTATTTCAAGATCATGCTTTGCATTCTCCTTTTCATAGGATTGAACTTTAAATTCTTAATATAAAAATAATTATACTGTAAAATGTAATTTCTCTATCCTTGTCTTGGCTACTGGTTATCGTTAATCATTTCTTATCCTTAATAATTCATCTTAATAAAGCCAATTTTAAATACAGTGCTTTTCTTTACCATTCATTAACAATAAAGGCAACACAGTAAAGCACAGTAAAATTAGTTTAGATTTCACATGTGTGTCACAGACAAATGAATTGTGTTTCTCAATGGATATTTTCTAAAGAACAGAAATTATTAAACTTACAAAATAAAACTGCTGCCTGAGAAAAACAAACTAGTAAAAAGAAATCTCAAAAAGTACATATTAAATACATTTATTTTGTAAATAAGCATTTCAGAAGAATGTACTAACTTTAATTTTTTCCTAAGGGGGGAATAAAGAACGATCTAACAGAACTCCTGTTTTCCTACTGTGATCTAAATATACATTCTCTTTAAGCCAAAAGAATTAGAGTAAAAACCTTTATACTTCCTAGAGAACTTGTTTGATCTGTGGATTTAATCCTGTATGATAAAAATGTTCCAAGTATGAAATATAGAGTATAAATCCTTAGCTGTATTGCAAATGCTTTGGCATGCAGATGTTTTTTTCCATATTTTAATGAAAACCAGATTTATTTATAAGTCGCTTTAATTTCATTCTCGAAAGGAATGGAACAAGAGTATCATATGTTCTGAATTAGGATCTTACTCACATCCCATATCAATTATGTAACTAAAATGCAAGACAACTTAATTGTGTCAATCATATTCCCCGACAAGATCATTAAATGTTAACAGAGAGCTTCCAACTTTAACAGCCACAGATTTTAAAAATGTAAGTTATTCTATGAAATATATAGATATATCATGAAAGTTCAGTATAAGTATTATAGCTTCTGACTTCTATTAGAATATTATGAACACAGTTTCATTCTGATATCTTTATAAAGATTTATATTTCAAAGGTACACCAAGCTCGCAGATAACCCAGAAAATTAGCATACCTGAAAGATCTTAATTAAAATTTATTGTATATCAAACCCTAAAATAAAAGCTTATCAATATCATGTTTCTCTCATAGAAGAAATACTGCCTACTGTAAGTCTATCTAGAAAAAAACTGTCCTTTATGGATAGTAAAGTCAATTATCATATTTTGTTTCTTACTTATTTTCTAGCATCAAGCTTTCAAGACTAATGATTTATCTGCATTCAAGTAAGTTAATATAATTAGCCAAAAATAAATGAATATATATTACATTTAAAACAAGATAAGGTTGTTAAAAAGATGTACAATTTTAAAACATAACAGAGATGATGCAAACTGACCACAGTATTTTGAAGTATATGATTTTAAAAATGTATTTCTAACATGTAAAAATAACATTTTAATCAATTTTCTATTAATATGAATGAGATGGAAGTTCATTTTAATTTTTATTTAAAAAACAAAAAAATCAATGCAACAATGTAAATCATTTGCCAATTATTTAAAATGAAGCTACGGTAAAAATATCACTTTTAGAGAAAGAAGACCTAAATTTCAATACCAGTTCTGCCACATACTACTTTAATTATTTCTAAAATATTACATATATTTCTAATCCCTCCTCTTTCCACCGACATATGACAATAAAAGAATATAAATAGGAGCCACCAAATTCAGGATCAAGAAAAAAGAAAACACTTGTGACAACTGTTGGAATTAACACAGTTATATTAATTCAAATGTGTCACATTTGACTCTGAGCTTCCTGGCAGTCAGGGCAAAAAGGGAAACACCACGTTTAATATAGTAATTATTAGAATTCCTTAATTCTCCACACTGTGCTGTAAGTTTGTGTACACACATGCTTGTTTATACACATGCTATTAGCATGTGTATATATATCTTACTTGATCATCCCAGCAACTTTATTGAGAAGGCAATATTGGTACCCCCATTATATCACATAAAAAAACCTAAGGCTCCAAGTACTTTATATAGTCAAAAGAAGTTAAATTAAGTTCCTGAGATTATTGAATATTAAATGGATAGAACACATATCTCCTTACTCTTAGTCTAGCCCTCTTTATTCTACCTCATATTGCCTTGAGTTCTTAACCCTAAAATATAAATTTCTCACATAGAATTTGAGTAATAGAAGGTGCCCTCAATGTTTTTTACAGCAGATACAAAAATGAATTTCACATAGCTATTTCTTATAGGAATTGTTTATCAACCTAAGCATAAAATCAAAATGTAACTAGATAAAGCTGTAGATAAAATAAGGTAGTTTTGAGTATCAGATGTGATAATGCATGTGGAAACCTCATTAACTGTAAAGTATCATACAAAGGAACAATATCTTCTGATGAAGAGAAATCATTTAGGACTTCTACTTGTCTTTTTTTAACTACATTTTCTTGATGGTTTCTATTCAGATCTAAAGTACACCACACTTTTCTTACAAATATGTATTTGCAGTTGTCTAAGTAGAATTCTTTAATGGAAGCTGAAATGTAAAAGCTAAAAACTAATTTTTGAAACCTTTCCTTGCATTCCAGAACAAGTTCAATTATTGAAGCAGAACAACCCAGTATTCAAATCTAAAAGTCTGACAGGTTTTGTACTGTGGTTTGAAACTTAACTATGTGAAATAACTTGATGGCAATTAAAATGATTTATTCTGTCTTTTCAAGTTCCTTTTTCTAGAATGTTCTTGTTCTACACAGTGAAAAGTACAATTAATTTTGTTTTTTCCCTATAAAGAGGTGAGTCAAAAATGTAAGATGCATTTTTTAAAGAAAGATAAAAGAGATACAATGTAGTTTAGTATTGTTTATAATATTGTTCAAAAACAGGAAATGAAACAATTAAGTCCTTGCAAATAATTTATTTTTTTGCCATGGTATATAATAGGAATTTCAAACAGGTATAGTTGTAACTGCCACATTTTTTATCACTATGATTTGCTGAGAAATGACAGCAATATCATTCACTCCCCTCCTTTGTTTAAGACCCGTACTGTCAGTATATTCAACCTTCTCCCATCCCCAACCTGTGTCTTGCATATCCCCAGAAATTTACCCTTTATTCCTCCTTAAGAGCATCTCAATCTCAGACCTGTCTTAGCCTATCTCACACCCCCAAGGAATGCAAGGATTATATCTGGTGCTTCATATGGTTCACAGAACAGCGCTTTCATATGGGTAATCAAACATTGGCTGAGTAGTTTCTATTCTATTACTGCTTCACTTCTGCCTAATTTGTAACTGTCTTGAGGGCAAGGACTACATTTATTTTACCTGCCACTACAAGTATTGCCATTTACAGCTTAATACATATTTATCAAATTAATACATGAACGGACACAATGTAAAATACTTTTTCTTACCTACTATAGTCTCCAGTCAAAAATTCTGCAATAGCAGCAGGAAGCTCTGTTTTAATAATTAAAAGATAAGATGACATAGCTGCAAAAGAATAAATAGTGTTCCTATTAGAATTCTATGATTCTTAACCATTTAAACAATAATCCATCTAGGAAAAGAGATGTCCATTAGAGCTATGACAACATATGGAAGATTAACATATAACACACTATACCAAAGATACATACACACACACACACACACACACACACACACACACACAGAAAAGTAACTGTAGAGAAGAATAACAATTGTTAAGTTCATTAAGTATCTTTTGTTTACATTTCAAGTCCAAAGCAAACTAGGTAAGAGAAACAGTCTTGATTACAGGCTACTTTTAAATGAAATTTTGTACAAAGTTTTACAAAAACTCTCTTATATGTTATCACTCCGTCTAAGGCATTAGAGGTTAGTTTAGCAACAACAGACATAGACACAGAAGTTTAATAGGTATGGCTAGTAACTGGATTATCTGTTCCTTCTTACTAGAGAAAGATGCCTCCCCACAACAGAGAAGTCTCATTCCCTCTGTCCCTTTCTTTTCCTCTCTCTACTACCCACCCCTGCATTATGAACACATATAATTATAGGATAAAAAAGAATACATAATGAATTACATTTAAAATTAGTCTCTAAAAAGATTAGAGAAAGTTCAATATAAACCATTAAATATATTAAAAAGACAAAACTTCCAACTTTTATTCCATTTTATTAACAGGGTTCATCTATATTATGTAATCATAACCTGAAGCTAGCATTATTTCTCACATTTAATCTAACAGAGTCCGATAAATAACTACCTTTTATAGCACTTTAATAACGATCCTAATTCTGATGTAGCTATAAAAACAAATTCTATAAAAATACTAGGAAAAGTTTTAATATGGTTACAGAATACAGAACTCATTCATATGTAAATACTTGAGTTTAAGCTTAAATATATAGAAACTCAGAAGATTTGTAGTCAGAACTTCAATTTAACAGAGTAAGATTCTCTTTCCTCCCAGAGATTATGTTTGTGTGTATGTGTTGGGGCCAAAAAGGAAACGCCCATGAAGAACAAAGAGTGTTTGGGAGGCCAAGGCGGGCGGTTGACGAGGTCAGGAGTTCGAGACCAGCCTGGCCAACATGGTGAAATCCTGTCTCTACTGAAAATACAAAAATTAGCCAGGCGTGGTGGCAGTTGCCTGCAATACCAGCTAACCTGGGAGGCTGAGGCAGGAGAATCGCTTGAAACTGGAAGGCGGAGGTTGCAGTGAGCCGAGACTGCACCACTGCACTTCAGCCTGGGTGAAAGAGCAAAATTCCACCTCAAAAAAAAAAAAAAAAAAGAATAAAGAGTATACTTTGTGTGCACATTAATTTTATTACTTATTTATATATCAGGAAACATTTCACTTTCTCCTTACAAAACTTACAAAAGCTAAGAACAAAAATGAAAGTCAAGTTTCAATGGCAAAAATCTGGGGAAAAATTGATTAAAAGGCTCAAATAGTTTAAGAAGAATGTATATTTCTCAATCAACATCATTTGAAAGGAGCTGAACTTCATGATTACAATGCTATGTGACCATTTAACTTGAGGAAAAAAAGGATACATGCTACTTTGCGTGTAAATTTGTATGGAGATAGATAATACTATAGACACAAAAACATACACTCTCAATTTTTTTTAGTAAAATAACATGTATTTATGTCAAAGTAAAATTTAGAACAGTTAAATAATCACTTCTCTGTGATGAAAATATACATATACATATTTTTTCAGTTTACAACGATTTCTTTTTCCCTAGCAGAAGTACAGCTATGTCTCAGTGGGTTGACTAAAATCCACTGAGACATTTCTGCAAAATCTTTTAGTTATGGGGTATTACAACTGATTGTATGTGAAAATGTGTTCTGTATTGTTCATATTCTCGTAAGGAAAAATGCTATCAATTTGGCACAGAACAGAAGGAAGGTTTAGACTAACCTTCTCCATTCAAGGATTTGGAGTTTTTATAATATTTTACCGATTCCAAAGAACTCTACACATATGGTGCAAAGATAAAAATTGTGAACTGAATTTTCTGAAACCGGCCTAGACTTACTTAAATATATCTTGTGAGAGAGACAGAAAAGAAAAAAGACAAAATACTTTGAAAACAAGGAAAGCAGACTTCCTATAAAATGTAATTTATTATCTGCCCATCTTTCTTTCTTGCTTGGATTAATCCAACACCACATGCATTTCTAAAGTTTCAGACATTCATCTCTTTCAGTAATTTTCTATTATTTCTTTTGGACCTTTAGCTGTAGAAAGCTTCAGTGAATATGAGATCCTATTTCTTTCTAATATAATATCTGTCATTCTTTCCAGAATTTCTATTAGCCCCTGGCTAATCATCTGATCACTTTTATCCTTTGTTGTACCCTCAACTCTTTGGTTTTCAAATGGGAGTACTATTTCATTAGATTCCAGTCTGAAGAATCATGTATATTTTAAGAAATATGAACTCACCAAACGTGTTTCTCTCTCAAAGAAGACCTCACATACAAGATACAAATATAATAAAACATGCAAAACATTGCTTCTTTTCTAGAGAATGTTAGTATATATTTTAAGAGTATACAACCACAGAACTTACTATAGGGGAAAACCCACACGGATTAAGCCAGTAAAACAAAGGCCACCACCATTCTATTCACTATGAAAATTATTTTTTTCTTAATCACAAGTAAACTTTCATGTAAGAACTAGCTAGCACTTTAACACATTATATTATATATAATACAGAAAAGAAACAAAAAGATTACCAAATACACATTAAGTTAGGAAATATATCTTAATTAAATTCATACAAAAGAACAATCAGCTCAATAAAATGAACTGGAAAAGTTTTAAAGATATACTATTGATAGGAATGCTCATATTGCCTTTGTTTTTAACTAAAAGGTTTACTAGATCAAATAGCTGTCTGCCACAGTTTTTGTCTTATGTCTTTTATAAATGGCATAAGAAAGTGTTTAAGCACTTATCTTACAGACCAATCATAAGCAAAAATTTGCAAATGATTTTGGGTGACATGGACACCTAGTATAGATTCCTAAAACAAGACACACCATGTTCTACTCTAAATTAATAGCTGCAACTGGGTCATCCACAAGAGCCATGCATATAGTTAAGTGGCCCCAAACCACCAAAGCCAAAATCAGTGCCAGAAGATATACCTTGATGTCAGGTATTCAGCCATTATAAATCACTTAGTTTTAGCACATTAACTAAATAGGTATTCTTTTCTACTTAATTTTAAACTAATATAACTCATTTAATAGAAACTTCTCTGGGAAAAAATAAAACATCTGTCAACTGAAAACACAGAAGTTGAAAGCACTCTTTAAAAACAACATGGAGAAGCAACAGTAATATTAAAAAGTGACTAAAATGGGGTAAAATCTGATTAGGTAATAGCAAGTTGCAAGGTGTTAATATCTGCTGATCTAATTATAAAGTGAAATAAATGAATTGGGCCCGGGAGGTTGAGAGGAGAGATGTTAGAAACACAGAAACAGGGAAGGGACTCTGGGCAGAGATCCATGAAAACAGCTAACATCTTTGTTTTTTAGATGCCTACTGTATGCTTGGTAGTATTCTACACAAGTTATTTCCTCACTTAATCTTTACACAAACCTGTGAGGTACATATTACTTATTTCACAGAATATAAGGAAGCACAAAGAAGTAACTTGCCCAAGCTAGTGATGGTGCAAACAGCCCGCCTGGGTTGAGAAACTCGTTCTATTAACTAGTATGCCATGAGAAAGTGCAGGAGCAAAGTGAAAAAGTAAACCAACAAAACAAAGACAAATAAGGAAAGTCTACCAGAAGTACCACTCTTCAGAATTATTTTTCTTTTTTAAATCAGTATTTAAACAAACTACTTTTGAATGCTGAGATTAACAGTTGACTTCAAAGGAAATGAATATCACAGAGAACATTAGTCAGAAGCTTTAGTAACACTTAGAATTTTCATTTCATCTTGAGATATATTTTCAATGTATTTCATTTTTCAGTATTGGAGCTCCTTTGGTGATGTGATTAGTTCAAAATTCATGGAGTTTCATGATGAGATTCTATTGCATCTACTGCTATGACTCTACTGTATTTACGGCTGTGATTGTAGTTCTGAAGAGGAAGTTTCCTATTCTCACGTATTTGAAATATTAACACTCCACTGAAATCCAAAAAATAAAAATCAGTCTCTGTGCTTCCAAATACTGTATTCTTATGAGTTATTTTTCGCAGCACTCTGAAAATGCTTCCCAAGTTGTCGTTATTAAGCATACAAACTTAAAAAAAACAAACCAACCCTAATTGGAGTTTGGGCCTAAGACATCATTACAGTTTATGAAGATAAGAATCTTTTTTGTTAAACATGTAAAATATATGTATGAGGACAGAATTACTTACAGCTATTTTTAAAACAGAATTAGGTTTTCAGCACTTGGGGGAAGTTCAGCAATTCTTAAAGGATTACTCAGCCCTAAACAAACGGATGTGCTACGGGGAAAAAATAAGTTTGCCTTTCTGTCTCAGAGAGATTCAATTTTATTTCAAACATGTTTTTAGTCATGGATACTAACTGGTTTATTCTATTCAATGTGTCTCATTAATCTGGTGGTCCCACAAAATATCTAAATGCCACTGAAGTTCTATATGCACTCAAATAGTACAGAACACATGCATAAATGAAAATCAAAATATATGGGGGAAAATGCTCCCCCATGACCCTAGAAAAAAATGTATATCTTTGTCTTATCATTTTCAGGATCTTAAATTTGATTAAAAAATGACCAAAATATCTACTGTTCTGAAAATTTTATAATTTTCAATAGAAATTACTATGAAAAATATTTTCAAAACCTTAAAAAAGATACACTACCAGTAAATGTTGTCAAATGAAGTGCTTGTGAAAAAGACTCTCCAAATTTCCTGTACCTCTCCTATTCTAAGGCAGTGCTTTCTAGAATTTCTAGACAAGTCTCAAGAAAGCTGCAGTTTCACCACAGATAAACTGACCAGCAGATGGCGATGTATCTGCGCGCCCAATCCTAGTTTCCCAAGAGACAATACAAACTAGTATATCTGAAACACTCTTAGTACTTTACTAGCCTACCAAAAAGTAAATAAATAAAATGCATGAATGAATATACAGGAAGAAAGCAAATCCAAGTAGTTTCTAGCATCTAATATTGTGAATTTTTCAAATACTGAGAATTTGAGATTTTTATAATTCTCAATTGAAAATGATCTTATTTATACCTTTCTGAGATTTAGAAATGGGGTTACCCGAGTCCATAGATTACCAAACTGAGGTGTTAATAAAGGCTGCAAGAGTAAGGTGTGTGGATTCTGTGCCAGACTGAAACATCTGGGTCATTCTAGCAATTTCAGGAGGTTTCAGTAAGACTACTAATGTTTATGGTTTTCCTTTCACAAAACGTAGTAATGATTAAATTTTTAATCTCCTTTAAAGAACTGGGGCTTTGAAGAATTAAGGAAAGCATATGCTATTCATAGTAATCCTTCATATTTATAAGAGCAAAATAAGAATATAACATCCCCCTAGGAGCTACTCATCTTTCCACATTTTGAATTGGGCAAGTTGTGAAACCAGAAATAACATCAATTGACTTCACTGTTATCATGTGCTTGTAAGAGTTAATAAGACTTTTTCTGGCTTGACTAAGAAGATGATTGGGATGTAGTGTTTGATTTCTAGTGATAATTCTAGCCTACTGAATGGTTTACTTCAGGAGTTCAAATGAATGTGAAACCAACTACTTACCTTAGTTTTTAAGAAAAGAATCACATAATACAACACTGTTACAGGAACTATGTGAAAACTACCTTATACTTACTTTCTACTACAGTTATTAATCTTTTATCTTTAGTTAGGCTGCCAAATTCAAACTCTCTAAGCCAGAATTGTCCCCTATAACAGCATTAAATGTTAAAACTTCCAGACACATCTTTTCTGACTTTGGGTCCCAGTAGCAGTGGCTCTCAACAAATGCTACTCCAGCACCTGAGGAAATGGGCTGCAGAGGGTTACCTCTGGCTCTAGCCAATGTTGAGCCTGTTATTCATTAGTATTGGGAAGATATCAGGAATTGCTTTTAAGTAGTAATTTACTATATGGTTCCCAAATTTCCAAAGCCAAGGATTTCTATAACCTTAGAATAAGAGTGTTAAATCTAGTGTGTTGCATTTTTTTCCATTATAAAATTTAGAGATTTACAGACAGTAGATTTTTTCAATCAATTTGTCAGACCACACTAGAGCCTTGTGACTAATACTTGGTGCCTGATTAATCTTGGGGGAGAAAAACGATTTTCTGTGAAGTTCTAACAGTAGACGCTTTCCTAAAAACTATATGCTCACTTACATATACTGGGCTTTCTCTTCCTGGTCAATCAACTCTCTTTTTGCTCTTGAAGGAGTACTAAGCCAGGTCACTAGCTTTTCCCCCTCTCCCCTCTTAGTCCTTTCTTTCTTCCTATAATAAATGTTATTTACTAAATGTATACTATGTGCTAAGTACTAGGGATGTAAATAAATGAGCACATTAATTTGATTTATGGAATATGGAAATGTGGGAAATAAACTGGGTCTTTGGCGAAAGACACATGAAACAAATATTGATCAAGGGCAATCCATGGTCATTTTGCTTTTAAAGGCCTTCCATTTCAATTTTTTTCATGGATTCACCACAGGAATTGTATCTCATGAAAACTGAGAAGTATTTAAATGTTACAAAGAATAAGAGAGTTAAGAAACATTAAGATATGATTTTCTTAACCTGAAAATAATAGATATTTTACATATATGTGTGTGTGTGTGTGTGTATATATATATATTATTATTATTATTATTATTATTATTTTTGAGACAGTTGCCCAGGTTGGAGTTCAGTGGCGAGATCTTGGCTTACTGCAACCTCCGTCTACCGGGTTTAAACGATTTTCCTGCCTCAGCCACCTGAGTAGCTGGGACTTACAGGCACACAACCCCAAGCCTGGCTAATTTTTTGTATTTTTAGTAGAGACTGGGTTTCACCATGTTGCCCAGGCTGGTCTCAAACTCCTGAGCTCAGGCAATCCTCCCACTTTGGCCTCCCAAAGTGCTAGGCTTACAGGCGTGGGCCTCCACACCCAGCCTATTTCAATATATTGTTAACCCATTTTACATAAATGAGATCTAACTCTCCCCAGTATTTTGAACTTTTAAATTTTTATATAATTCTAAACTAGAAGTCATTCTATGGTCTTTCAAGTTTCTTTTTTTATCACTTACATAGTATATTCAATTGTCTCTTTGAGGCAAAATCTTAGGCTTTTAAGCAGAACTTTAAAAACTGTCCAATTCATTCAACAAATACTACTTATTGAGCTCTTCTCAGAAACTAGGTAAAGTTAGGAAAACAAATAAAAACACATAGTTCCTGTCCCCAAGAAGTTAGAAAATCTTCAACATTTAATCTTTTCACATTTTTCAAACATTTGCTATATCATAGCAGAAAGAATAAAGGCCAACTGAGCAAGGTTTGAATCCAAGCTTCATTATGGGATAAATGTGAGCAAGCTACTTATCTCCACTGCACACTGATCTCTTCTCTATAAAATGAAGATAATATCTATATTGAAGAGTTGTTATAATTAAAGTATCTAGTAGAGTGCTTGACCTAAATAGAATCTATTACATTATTTTTCAGTTTTAATGTAAACAACCACTGCAAAAGTCAGATAATTTATACTAACAAACATTCTTTTAAAAAAAAGTTATCTGAACTACATTATTTGCAGACAGGCACTTAAGATGTGTAAAAATTCAATCTGATTTACACTTAATATAATCTTTTAAATATCCAATATATTTCCAATTAATAAAGAAAATAATCAAAATCCATTTTAATGAAGTAACATTGGTCATTGTACGATTAACTTATTTATTATAATAAAACTGTATATATATATATATACTTATTTAATATAATGACACAGTATATTAAATATCCTCCCAAATAAGTATGTTGTTTGCAAGCATACATGGACTAGAAGTTCCACAGATTCTGTATATATCAATCAAGAAACTACTTTTTAAGGCTAGGGTTCCTAGACTTTAACCTAAGAGGAGGTTCTAAAGGGTAGTCCTAAGAACTGAAGTTCCCTTTTGCTTAGTGACAAAAAATAGCATCCATGAATGCTTTTAGGGCAATAGTTATTGATTTGTTAAAGATACCTAAGAAAGGGCCAAATCATCTTTTGAACCAAGTATAACCCTCGCATTGAACTTTCCTGTAATAAAATACGTTAATACGTTAAAATAATTAATATGCCTCCCAATGTGCCAAATTTGAATTCAAATTTTGGGGTAAGAAGGGACCTTAAACTCCCTGCTTCCCACTCTACCGTCCAACAATTTAACAAAGAGGGAACTGAAGCCAAGACAGTGAGAGTGAGGGATTTCCACAAGACACATGGCTACCCAATGGCAGAGACTGGAGTAGACAGAATTCAAGGTATCTGACTTCCAATCTAGTGTTCTGCTCACAAGAGCAAGCTTCCAATTCTATTATAATAAAGAAATGGTTTATGTACATCTGGCTACGAAAAAAGACAGAAAAAACTCTGAAAATATGTATTTGGTTATTACTGACTGGGCACTTAATACACTTTTAACCAATGTGAAGAAAATCATGAGGATATCATTCTAAAAACTAAATAAGCATTACTAGCTTTTCTAAATTTAAGGGACATTAAAAACTGCTGTGACCACTCTAAATCACCTTTTTAAAAAAAAGTTCTAAAATAAGCAAGCAAGCAAACCAACAAAATTAAGAGTTGGGAAAACTCATGATTTATCCACCTCCAAATGCAAGAATCCTTTCTAGAATTCTGGCAACTGACCAACCAGCTCTGTTTGAATGTTTTCAGGGCTAAGGAGCATTTTCAAAGGGATGTAGGCCATCCTCATTATCACACAGCTTAGTTACAAGGGTACTCCGAATAAGAAAACCCAAAACAGCTTCTCTGTAGATTTCTATACATTAGCACCAGTTCTGCCCTCTGGAACAATACTTGAATTAGTCTAGTGTCTTTTTTATATTTCATGTTCAGTCTTTCAAATACCTGAAGCTAGATGCCGGTCTAGCATTTCCCTTTTCTCTTCTTGATAAATATATCTAGAATATTTAAGGTACTTAGAAAGAGATTATACAAATCATTTCAGCTCTATTCTGCTCAACAAGTTTATCAATTCCCAGGTGTAATAGGTGCTGGGAGTACAAAGAGAAATGAGGCATACTTTTGAGCTAAAGGAACTTAACAATATAGTGGGGTACAGGAGCATACATACAGAGAAGTTAAATCTAGTAGCAGCCAAGTGCTACAGTATAGCCATCTCCAATAACAGTTATAAACAAGATTAGAGAACAAGGAAGGAATCAAGGTGAAAGGGACAAAGAATACAACAGTGGGCCTTGTGCCAGGGTCACAAATTTGGATCTAAATTGCTGAACTGAACAGTCTACATAAACTGTTAAACAATGGTTCAATCTAACCTAAACAATATGTGATAGTTCTTAGAATCTATACAGAGAGGATAAAGAGGGATTAAAAATATAAAAATATACATCATATTCAGAAACATTATCAGTGCACAGTTAAGCAATACTTAGTTGCTAAATAAATTATTCCAAAATAGATCTTAAAATCAATGACTATAATAAATTCATAAATGAAGAGACTGGTTTTCTTGACTTTCTACTGTGAAGTGTGAAGTAGTGTGTGTTAGGAGAAAATTATTTGGTATGGCATGCAAGAAAGCATTCTTTTTATTCATATTTTTTCATGAAAATTCAAAGAATTAAAACAGGATTCTAAAACAATGGCAGCACAATTCACTGGTGGAATGTCAATTTTTCCTTAACCAAAAAAACCTATTAACGATGGAATTTGATTGAACAATACTTAAAGTGATATAGCTCAGACCTCTTGATTATGAGAGCTGAAGTTTATTAAAACTGTCATCTTTGAATTAAACTGTTACATGTAAAAAATAAGATTAAAATGTCCTCTGACTATACAATCCTGTATAAGATCCAAAGTACATGTCAAACTTTTCTGTGTATTTTCCTTTAAGAGCATTTATTTAGCACTCCAGTCAATGATAAAAGAAAACGAAGATATTGTTCAGCACTACGCAACTTCTTTACAACATATACACACATGATACCCATATTTTGGATTTAAATGTTTAATACATTTACTCAGTAACTGTCTATAATTAACAGTAGTTTTATTTCTACATAGTTCTCAATATTGAGATCATTTCTAGAATTGGTTATTAATAGGAACAAGATACAGGATAAATGTGAGAATGCTTATTTATCTCAGATTTATTTATGTTTTAAACCACTTGGTCATTTTAAATTCTTGGTTACAAGAGGACACTGTTGTCCATACTTGCTTGTTCACAGCCCACGGAACACTAATCCCTCTAAAGTAGTATCTGCCAATAGGGTGATTAGAACAAAAGTAGAGGGAAAATATTTTAAAATCACCAGGAGAGCTTTTCCAGACTGTATCCTACCTTCAGAATCACAGAAAGCCAATGTTTTAGAGGTGTGTTGCAGACCTAATAACACGACTGCAATCAGGGTTTAGCTCAAACTGAATTTAGAAGCTACTGTCACAAGTGCTGCTAAAAAGGATCCAAAAAAAAAAAGAGTAAAGAGGCCAACACACAGGCTTCTGAAGATAGCTATGTCTACAGAAGTTCCCAGCTAGATCTGTAGTAAGATAACAATTCAAAGGACATTATTGCCATCACATTTATGTATAAACAGTGCACTTGCAATTGCTTACCTCCAATATTCTGAATTATTATGGTGCCTGCCACCACCAACTGTAAAAGAACAGAAATATTCAGAAGATAGAAGGGGAAACAATATAAAAGGATCAGTATTTTATTAAAATCCAGTAACTATTACTAAAAAAGCAGATGCAGAAGTTGTGAGGAGAAACTAAAAAGAAATCTGCCAGTCATTTGAAATACATAAAATTAATAATCATCACATTAAAAAGTATTTCTTTAATAGTTCCAAAGTTACTATAAAGAAGTTTTTGAAATTTTTCTTGGCAGTCACTTTTAAATTGTTAAAAGTGTTAAAAGCTAGTAATCGATGATTATCAAGTATAAAAATTAAAAGTGTGGGAGTGGTGTCTCATTCCCTTCTTGCTGGTTTTATCACACTGCTTAAATAAGTAGAAAAAGACCGGCTGGGTGTGCTATGCCAATGCTATATTGCCTAAAAGGAAATGATATAAGTTTTCTGACTATATCAGCATCCCAGACTTTGAGCATCCCAGTCCCAGAGATTAATAAAGTCTAGAGCCCAATTACTCTCAAACCCTGAAAATATAGGCAAAATGTTCCAAACTCAATAATGTGAATTAAGCTGAATATAAGACAATGGGAGTTGGCAAGAACTGTAGGATATTGGAGAATTCCTCCCCCTTCAATGGGGCAGGTGCTACTCAGCTCTGGCCAGTTGATAATATGTGAGAATGTGGATCCAATGTAGCCAGATCTGATTTTTCAAAGAAAGTCAGAAATGAAATTTTTTCATACTTTAATGATGCTTAGTTGGTAATCAGTTAAAAATAAAAAATATTTGAGCCATATAAAATGTGCCTGAGGACTAAATTCAGTCTGTAGGCTTGTTAGCTTATCATCTTTGATGAGATTCCTGGGGAACTCAAGGTAATCAGATATGCTTAGAGGAAACAGTAAAACACTGTGCTTCCATGTGGGCCTTTCAATCACTCAAGTCTTAATGGATCGGAACCCCAACGTATGCCTGGAGCTGACTAGCTGTCTAGAATCATTCAGTTCTACATGAATTGGGAACAGATAATCTTTCATGCCCATCTTTGTTAGGAATTCTATCAGTGGCACAGCATTTGCCTACACTGAAAACAATCTAAGTTATTAGGACCTAGGAGCCTTGAGGTTTGCAGAGGAGGGCTAATGATATGAAAATCTGGCAAAGTGTCTTTGGAGATGTGGTGATTGCCACTTGAACGCTCTCCAGAAAAAATTCTGCATTTCAGCCTATGTAAAACTTAGTTCCAAAATGTCGAAGTTATTTGTGAAAAGACTATTTTGAACTTGTGTATACTATCTTCAGTACAAATGATACCTACTGTCAGTAGTAGGTATACATGAAATTTGGTTTTATTTTCAATTAATATATTGCAAAAAACAGTAATATTAACTTATTGATGATTATTCTTTCATTCTTTGGCTGAATTTAAGCATTTAATATCTTGAAAGCTAGAATATCTATCTATCTACCCACCTGCCTACCTACTTATATTTTTAATGCCTAGCACAGTACATGGTACAAAGTATTTGATCAATAAATATTTGTCTGGTGAATAAATACCAATTTATAGACATTGAAATAAATCTTTAACAAGTTCAAAACATTTCAAAAAATTTCTTTATCATAATATTATCCCATATTATAACTATATAACATCTGGATAGAAGGAAATGGTTAAGTTTCAACCCAACTGTGGAAGTGTGGAGAAAATTTAAACAAGCAACCAAACAACAACTCCTCATTCAGAGTATGCTTTGTCTAGTGTTCCTGCCTACTATGAACTTTTTTGGTGCATGTATTAAAATGACAACACAACTACTCTAAGAGGTTTAGGAAAAGAAGACTCTCAGCAGTCCCTACTCTTTAAACTTTGCTGCTATACAAGCAACGCAGGAAATATGAACATGAAATGACAGTGATGTCAGTGTTGATACTTAGAGTTATGTTTATAGGTTATGTTATATTAATTGTGGAATTTTCTCATACAAAAAATATTTTCTTCTTTGTTTAAACTAGATGGAGGAAACTGATCCCTGGCTACACCAAACATCCTAATCCTCTAGAACAGAAACATTGCTACTAAGGAAGATTAACAAAACCTTTTACCCTCAAGTAACATATTCTGTTTTGTTTAAGTTTCAGGTGACTAAGGTCCAAGCCATGATGCTATATAGTATATGATTTAAGCATTCCTTTTTGTACTTTAAAAACAAAGTTAGGGCCGGGCGCGGTGGCTAACGCTGTAATCCCAGCACGTTGGGAGGCCGAGGCAGGTGGATCACCTGAGGTCGGGAGGCCCAGACCAGCCTGACCAACATAGAGAAATCTGTCTCTACTAAAAATACAAAATTAGCCAGGCCTGGTGACACATGCCTGTAATCCTAGCTACTTAGGAGGCTGAGGCAGGAGAATCGCTTGAACCAGGGAGGCGGAGGTTGTGGTGAGCTGAGATCATGCCATTTCACTCCAGCCTGGGCAACAAGAGCGAAACTCTGTCTGAAAAAACAAAAACAAAAAACTCCACCAAAGTTAACTGGAATGTAAATACAGGTTTTCTTTCCATTGTATAGCTATATATATTTCCTCCAGACTCACTTTCAGAAGTTAGTTTAGCCAGTTACAGATAGAGTATCCTTTTAGAATAAAAATAAAACAAAAAATGGTAAGTATGTGAAGTAATGCAAATATTAATTAGGTCAATTTAGCCATTCTACAATGTTTACATATTTCAAAATGACATGTTGTCCATAATAAATATATACAATTTGTATTTGTCAATCGAAAACATAAAAACACAAACAACAGATTTACAAACAAAAGAATTCCTGTTTGGAGCCAAAATGAATATGAATTTTAGAAGTATAGTAGTTCTTCAGAAATTAAAAAATATATATACTATAGCACTAACAGTAACGTTCAACTCCTGATTACTGGTGGAAGACAATTATTTTTCTCTACCTATTAAACTAGTGTAGTATCCCTATTGCAAGTGGGTGCCCCATAAATACTGCTGTTATTTCTCTTATTCTGAGTAAGAAAAGCAGTAGATCTAGAGTTCTAGGATGTGGTACTGGCTTTATATAATAGTTGACAAATAGGTCCCTTAATTTCTCTGGTCCTTAATTTCCTCACCTATAAATGAGAGGATAGCTAGATAATCTTGTAGCAATGTTCAATTCTTAAGTGATATGATCTTCTGATTACTGGTTTTGTAAATAGCCATGCTACAATTTGAATTCGATGTTGCTTTTCTTTTCTTGTCTTTATGAGGGTTTACTCATATGAGTACATAATCAAAATTAATACAACTTAAAACAGGTCATCGTTACTCTTTTAAAGTCATTCAAGTCATTGTGCTACTTTATTAGGATGAAAAATATTAAAAGATTCAAGCATTGAATTAAATGTATTGATGCATTTTTAGGAAGGACACAAAGACTTCTCTTTCTTTGCCTGCTCCTATCATTCTCTCTTTTCTCACTTTAGTTTCCTTTTATTCCTCTAATGTCTTCCTCTTGTATATACTTGTCTCTTTTAACTTGAAACAAAAGGAAAAATGCCACTTTGGGTTTTGGACACAATGAGGAGGAAAAAAAATTACCTTTCCAGGTAATCCAAATGCAAAGAGTCCAAGATCTTCATAAGATGTTACAGCTGTTAAGAGAAATTACAATGTTCACTTTTACACAAAACTATTTATGTGTCAGGTCCTAAAGAGAAGAGCAGGTCCTACTACAAACTAAATACAGTATAATTCTTATGATCCAGGCCAATCAGGACTAAACACAAAATGAGAAAATTCTCCCTAACATCCTCAAATAAAGGCAACACTAAAAAGGATGGTTGGCTTTAATCAGCTGTTTTATGTAAAAATCTCTGGTAATTTTCATCAAATCTTTCATTTCCATCCCAAAACATAAGCCACAATACCTATGATTTTCAGATGTCTTTGTAAAACATGTCTTTTTCTCAGTAGTGACGGTTTTTACTTTTTAAGAAAATCACCAAGGATTCTTTTATTATGTTTCTCTATCTCATTTCTGAAAGATTCTTTCTCTCAAGCTGTACATATTAAAAGTTATTTCCGGACACAGAAGATGGGTGATTTCTGCATTTCCAACTGAGGTACCGGGTTCATCTCACTGGGGAGTGTTGGACAGTGGGTGCAGGACAGTGGGTGCAGTGAACCGAGCATGAGCCGAAGCAGGGTGAGGCATCACCTCACCTGGGAAGTGCAAGGGGTCAGGGAATTCCCTTTCCTAGTCAAAGAAAGGGATGACAGCCGGCACCTGGAAAATCGGGTCACTCCCACCCTAATACTGCGCTTTTCCAATGGTCTTAGCAAATGGTACACCAGGAGATTATATCCCGCACCTGGCTCGGAGGGTCCTATGCCCACGGAGCCTCGCTCATTGCTAGCACAGCAGTCTGAGATCAAACTGCAAGGCTGCAGCGAGGCTGGGGGATGGGCGCTGCCATTGCCGAGGCTTCAATAGGTAAAGAAAGTGGACTGGAAGCTCGAACTGGGTGGAGCCCACCACAGCTCAAGGAGCCCTGCGTGCCTCTGTAGACTCCACCTCTAGGGGCAGGGCATAGCCAAACAAAAGGCAGAGAAACCTGTCCAGACTTAAATGTCTCTGTCTGACAGCTTTGATGAGAGTAGTGGTTCTCCCAGCACGCAGCTGGAGATCTGAGAAGGGACAGAATGCCTCCTCAAGTGGGTCCCTGACCCCCGAGGAGCCTAACTGGGAGGCACCCCCCTGTAGGGGCAGACTGACACCTCACACGGCCGGGTACTCCTCTGAGACAAAACTTCCAGAGGAACGATCAGGCAGCAACATTTGCTGTTCACCAATATCCGCTGTTCTGCAGCCTCTGCTGCTGATACCCAGACAAAAAGGGTCTGGAGTGGACTTCCAGTAAACTCCAACAGACCTGCAGCTGAGGGTCCTAACTGTTAGAAGGAAAACTAACAAACAGAAAGGACATCCACACCAAAACCCCACCTGTACGTCACCATCATCAAAGACCAAAGGTAGATAAAACAACAAAGATGGGGAAAAAACAGAGCAGAAAAACTGGAAACTCTAAAAATCAGAGCACCTCTGTTCCTCCAAAGGAAAGCAGCTCCTCACCATCAATGGAACAAAGCTGGATGGAGAATGACTTTGACGAGTTGAGAGAAGAAGGCTTCAGAAGATCAAACTACTCCAAGCTAAAGGAGGAAGTTCGAACCCATGGCAAAGAAGTTAAAAACCTTGAAAAAAAATTAGACGAATGGCTAACTAGAATAACCAATGCAGAGAAGTCCCTAAAGGACCTGATGGAGCTGAAAACCACGGCACGAGAACTACGTGATGAATGCACAAGCCTCAGTAGCCGATTCAATCAACTGGAAGAAAGGCTATCAGTGATGAAAGATCAAATGAATGAAATGAAGCGAGAAGAGAAGTTTAGAGAAAAAAGAATAAAAAGAAATGAACAAAGCCTCCAAGAAATATGGGACTATGTGAAAAGACCAAATCTACGTCTGATTGGTGTACCTGAAAGTGATAGGGAGAATGGAACTAAGTTGGAAAACACTCTGCAGCATATTATCCAGGAGAACTTCCCCAGCCTAGCAAGGCAGGCCAACATTCACATTCAGGAAATACAGAGAACGCCACTAACATACTCCACGAGAAGAGCAACTCCAAAACATATAATTGTCAGATTCACCAAAGTTGAAATGAAGGAAAAAATGTTAAGGGCAGCCAGAGAGAAAGTCGGGTTACCCACAATGGGAAGCCCATCAGACTAACAGCTGATCTCTTGGCAGAAACTTCACAAGCCAGAAGACATTGGGGGCCAATATTCAACATTCTTAAAGAAAAGAATTTTCAACCCAGAATTTAATATCCAGCCAAACTAAGCTTCATAAGTGAAGGAGAAATAAAATCCTTTACAGACAAGCAAATGCTGAGAGATTTTGTCATCACCAGACCCGCCCTACAAGAGCTCCTGAAGGAAGCACTAAACATGGAAAGGAACAACCAGTACCAGTCACTGCAAAAACATGCCAAATTGTGAAGACCATCAAGGCTAGGAAGAAACTGCATCAACTAACGAGCAAAATAACCAGCTAACATCATAACGACAGGATCAAATTCACACATAACAATACTAACCTTAAATGTATATGGGCTAAATACTCCAATTAAAAGACACAGACTGGCAAATTGGATAAAGAGTCAAGACCCATCAGTGTGCTGTATTCAGCAGACCCATCTCATGTGCAGAGACACACATAGGCTCAAAATAAAGGGATGGAGGAAGATCTACCAAGCAAACGGAAAACAAAAAAAGGCAGGGGTTGCAATCCTAGTCTCTGATAAAATAGACTTTAAACCAACAAAGATAAAAAGAGACAAAGAAGGCCATTACATAATGGTAAAGGGATCAATTCAACAAGAAGAGCTAACTATCCTAAATATATATGCACCCAATACAGGAGCACCCAGATTCATAAAGCAAGTCCTTAGAGACCTACAAAGAGACTTAGACTCCCACACAATAATAATGGGAGACTTTAACACCCCACTGTTAACATTAGACAGATCCACGAGACAGAAAGTTAACAAGGATCTCCAGGAATTGAACTCAGCTCTGCACCAAGTGGACCTAATAGACATCTACAGAACTCTCCAACCCAAATCAACAGAATACACATTCTTTTCAGCACCACACCACACCTATTCCAAAACTGACCACATAGTTGGAAGTAAAGCACTCTTCAGCAAATGTAAAAGAGCAGAAATGATAACAAACTGTCTCTCAGACCACAGTGCAATCAAACTAGAACTCAGGATTAAGAAACTAACTCAACACCGCTCAACTACATGGCAACTGAACAACCTGCTCCTGAATGACTACTGGGTAAATAATGAAATGAAGGCAGAAATAAAGACATTCTTTCAAATCAACAAGAACAAAGACACAACATACCAGAATCTCTGGGACACATTCAAAGCAGTGTGTAGAGGGAACTTTATAGGACAAAATGCCCACAAGAGAAAGCAGGAAAGATCTAAAATTGACACCCTAACATCACAATAAAAGAACTAGAGAAGCAAGAGCAAACACATTCAAAAGCTAGCAGAAGGCAAGAAATAACTAAGATCAGAGCAGAACTGAAGGAAATAGAGACACAAAAAACCCTGCAAAAAAATCAATGAATCCAGAAGCTGCTTTTTTGAACAGATCAACAAAATTGATAGACCGCTAGCAAGACTAATACAGAAGAAAAGAGAGAAGAATCAAATAGATGCAATAAAAAATGATAAAGGGGATATCACCACCGATCCCACAGAAATACAAACTACAATCAGAGAATACTATAAACACCTCTATGCAAATAAACTAGAAAATCTAGAAGAAATGGATAAATTCCTTGACACATACACCCTCCCAACACTAAACCAGGAAGAAGTTGAATCTCTGAATAGACCAATAACAGGCTCTGAAATTGAGGCAATAATTAATAGCCTACCAACCAAAAAAAGTCCAGGACCAGATGCAATCACAGCCGAATTTTACCAGAGGTACAAGGAGGAGCTGGTACCATTCCTTCTGAAACTATTCCAATCAATAGAAAAAGAGGGAATCCTCCCTAACTCATTGTATGAGGCCAGCATTATCCTGATACCAAAGTCTGGCAGAGACACAACCAAAAAAAGAGAATTTTAGACCAATATCCCTGATGAACATCGATGCAAAAATCCTCAATAAAATACTGGCAAACTGAATCCAGCAGCACATCAAAAAGCTTATCCACCATAATCAAGTCGGCTTCATCCCTGGGATGGAAGGCTGGTTCAACATACGCAAATCAATAAATGTAATCCAGCATATAAACAGAGCCAAAGACAAAAACCACATGATTATCTCAATAGATGCAGAAAAGGCCTTTGGCAAAATTCAACAGCCCATTCATGCTAAAAACTCTCAATAAATTAGGTATTGATGGGACGTATCTCAAAATAATAAGAGCTATCTATGACAAACCCACAGCCAATATCATACTGAATGGGCAAAAACTGGAAGCATTCCCTTTGAAAACTGGCACAAGACAGGGATGCCCTCTCTCACCACTCCTATTCAACATAGTGTTGGAAGTTCTGGCCAGGGCAATCAGGCAGGAGAAGGAAATAAAGGGTATTCAATTAGGAAAAGAGGAAGTCAAATTGTCCCTGTTTGCAGATGACATGATTGTATATCTCGAAAACCCCACCATCTCGGCCCAAAATCTCCTTAAGCTGATAGGCAACTTCAGCAAAGTCTCAGGATACAAAATCAATGTGTAAAAATCACATGCATTCCTATATACCAATAACAGACAAACAGAGAGCCAAATCATGAGTGAATTCCCATTGACCATTGCTTCAAAGAGAATAAAATACCTAGGAATCCAACTTAGAAGGGATGTGAAGGACCTCTTCAAGAACTACAAACCACTGCTCAATGAAATAAAAGAAGATACAAACAAATGGAAGAACATTCCATGCGCATGGGTAGGAAGAATCAATGTCGTGAAAATGGCCATACTGCCCAAGGTAATTTATAGATTCAATGCCATCCCCAACGAGCTACCAATGACTTTCTTCACAGAATTGGAAAAAACTACTTTAAAGTTCATATGGAACTGAAAAAGAGCCCGCATTGCCAAATCAATCCTAAGCCAAAAGAACAAAGCTGGAGGCATCACGCTACCTGACTTCAAACTATACTACGAGGCTACAGTAACCAAAACAGCACGGTACTGGTACCAAAACAGATATATATACCAATGGAACACAACAGAGCCCTCAGAAATAATGTCGCATATCTACAACTATCTGAACTTTGACAAACCTGAGAAAAACAGGAAATGGGGAAAGGATTCCCTATTTAATAAATGGTGCTGGGAAAACTGGCTAGCCATATGTAGAAAGGTGAACTTGGATCCCTTCCTTACGCTTTATACAAAAATTAATTCAAGATGGATTAAAGACTTAAATGTTAGACCTAAAACCATAAAAACCATAGAAGAAAACCTAGGCAATACCATTCAGGACATAGGCATGGGCTGTTAAGGACTTCGTGTCTAAAACACCAAAAGCAATGGCAGCAAAAGCCAAAATTGACAAATGGGATCTAATTAAACTAAAGAGCTTCTGCACAGCAAAAGAAACTACCATCAGAGTGAACAGGCAACCTACAAAATGGGAGAAAATTTTTGCAACCTACTCTTCTGACAAAGGGCTAATATCCAGAATCTACAATGAACTCAAACAAATTTACAAGAAAAAAACAACCGCATCAACAAGTGGGCGAAGGATATGAACAGACACTTCTCAAAAGAAGACATTTATGCAGCCAAAAAACACATGAAAAAATGCTCATCATCACTGGCCATCAGAGAAATGCAAATCAAAACCACAGTGAGATACCATCTCACACCAGTTAGAATGGCAATCATTAAAAAGTTAGGAAACAACAGGTGCTGGAGAGGATGTGGAAAAATAGGAACACTTTTACACTGTTGGTGGGACTGTAAACTAGTTCAACCATTGTGGAAGTCAGTGTGGTGATTCCTCAGGGATCTAGAACTAGAAATACCATTTGACCCAGCCATCCCATTACTGGGTATATACCCAAAGGAACATAAATCATGCTTCTATAAAGACAAAGGCACACGTATGTTTACTGTGGCACTATTCACAATAGCAAAGACTTGGAACCAACCTAAATGTCCAACAATGATAGACTGGATTAAGAAAATGTGGCACATATACACCATGGAATACTATGCAGCCATAAAAAATGATGAGTGCATGTCCTTTGTAGGGACATGGATGAAATTGGAAACCATCATTCTCAGCAAACTATCCCAAGGACAAAAAACCAAACACCACATGTTCTCACTCATAGGTGGGAGTTGAACAATGAGAACACATGGGCACAGGAAGGGGAATATCACACATCCCTGCTGTGGGGTGGGGGAGGGGGAGGGATAGCATTAGGAGATATACCTAATGCTAAATGATGAGTTAATGGGTGCGGCACGCCAACATGGCACATGTATCCATATGTAACAAACCTGCACGTTGTGTACATGTACCCTAGAACTTAAAGTATAATTTAAAATAAAAGTTATTTCCCCTTTTTCCTAAGCAAAAGTTTCTAATCAATATAAGGTAAACAATGTCAACATGCAGATTGATGTAATTTTGGTCACTAATTTATGACCCTCTAGCTATCTGACATCTCTCTGTATGTATTTTAAGTTAATCTGTGTAGGCTGATCAGGGGTAAATTTGTGATCTTAGGCATTCTGAAAGATTTTAAATTGCTTAAATGCTCTCAATACTAACATTGCAACTCCTAGCAGTTTAATCCACCTGCCTTATTGTAGCTTTTGAATGGGCAGACTAAATTTAAAGAAGTAACCTTTTTTTCTTGGAAAACTTTTGAACGCTTATGGTCTGTAAGAATAGAGTCCTCTTAGAATAGGTAAAGCTTAGCACATTTCATGGTTGTCTAACAACTACCCATGCTGGATTAATTCAAATGGAACAATTACTCAAGAACATCCCTACTTCTTACTATACAGTACTTGCATACCACATTGTCCAAATGTTTCATTGGCAATGGTTTCTGAAAACTGGATATGTAAATAAAGTTAAAGTATAAATGTATGATACTTTCAGAGATATTCACTTCTCCAGGTGTCTAGAATGATGATAATGTGTTCACAAAAAATAATACTCTTATCCCATAATTGGCTGGGCATATACTTTCTTTTGTCATCATAAAAGAGTATTCCATTTTCATGTCACATGTTTAATAAATGTGGTCACAGAAAAGATGAAAATTAAATGGCTCAAAAAATAACCAAAACTATGTCTTTAGATCATATAGCTTTATGTTTTAACTAGTGATGCTACTATTTGTATAATCCTATAGTTTGAAAAGTGCTTACACTAAAGAGAATAGCAGATACCAAGGCTTGGTACAGCAATACATATCTTTTATTGAGTTAAAGATATGGCTCATCATTTCTCAAAGCTAGTTCCAATAAATCTTCTCAAGATATACATGGGTTTTCTTTCAACTGCCACTGTATAAACAAAAGAACTCCTCGGTACTTTCATAATCAAAGACCTACATGTATGTAAAAATAAGCATTTTTTAAGCCAGATACAGTCTTTACCTATCATTACTACAAAGTTAGAAAGAAGTCAGTGGAATGCTGAAAAAATAATGAGATCTACTAATTAAGAACAAAAATTTTAACTTTATTATCAGAATTGATCAACGAATTTGGAAACTTCATGAATGATACAGCCCTTTTCTAAAATGTATTTACATACTGCTAAACAATGCACAAGGGCAATTTAGCTTTGAATTTGAGATATATAATTTGATTTATGAGTAGCAAACTTTATGCTTTAATAATAAAAGACTAATAATTTTACAAGGGTGGATTTGAGACATATTTTAGAACATAAAATTAAGTTACAAAACTAAGAACTAGAATTTTTTCCAACTATGTGAAATGTCAACATTCTTTTTTTTCAAATCACATATTCTAAAGTAAAAGCTATCACAAAAATTAGTAATTATTTTAATCAACAAATCTTTAATATTCTTAAGCTTAATTGATAATGTTATACATGGGCAACATTCCTTATATTTAACATCCCAAAGCCTTGGTATATATATTTTAAACCTGAAAATTATGTACATATCATTTTCTAATTTGGCATTGAGAAGGTAATTTTGTTCCATATTATATGAACCAAGTCTCCAGAGCATCTCTGATATGTCACTTATATCGGTGTTCATTTTCAGCATCCGTTTCATATTACAATTAAATATGTACATTCTTATTTTTTTGAGACAGGGTCTTACTCTGTAACCCAAGCTAGAGTGCACTGGCACAATCACAGCTCACTGCAGCCTTGAACTACTGGGCTCAAGCAATCCTCCTGCCTCAGCCCCTGGAGTTGCTGGGACCACAGGCACATGCAAATACACCAGGCCCAGGCTAACTTTTCATTTTTTACTTTTTGTATAGGCAGGGTTTCACTATGTTGCCCAGGTTAATCTCAAACTCTTGGACTCAAGCCATCCTCCTACCTTGGCCTCACAAAGTGCTGGGATTACTGGTGTGAGCCACTGCATCTGGTCTGTTCTTTTATTTTATTTTATTTTATTATTATTAAAGTTTTAGGGTACATGTGCACAATGTGAAGGTTAGATACATATGTATACATGTGCCACGCTGGTGTGCTGCACCCATTAACTCGTCATTTAGCATTAGGTATATCTCCTAATGCTATCCCTCTCCCTTCCTCCCACCCCACAACAGTCCTCAGAGTGTGATGTTCCCCTTCCTGCGTCCATGTGTTCTCATTGTTCAATTCCCACCTATGAGTAAGAACATGTGGTGTTTGGTTTTTTGTCCTTGGGATAGTTTGCTGAGAATGATGATTTCCAATTTCATCCATGTCCCTACAAAGGACATGAACTCATCATTTTTTATGGCTGCATAGTATTCCATGGTGTATATGTGCCACATTTTCTTAATCCACTCTATCATTGTTGGACATTTGGCTTGGTTCCAAGTCTTTGCTATTGTGAATAGTGCCGCAATAAACATATGTGTGCATGTGTCTTTATAGCAGCATGATTTATAGTCCTTTGGGTATATACCCAGTAATGGGATGGCTGGGTCAAATGGTATTTCTAGTTCTAGATCCCTGAGGAATCGCCACACTGACTTCCACAATGGTTGAACTAGTTTACAGTCCCACCAACAGTGTAAGTGTTTCTATTTCTCCACATCCTCTCCAGCACCTGTTGTTTCCTGACTTTTTAATGACTGCCATTCTAACTGGTGTGAGATGGTATCTCATTGTGGTTTTGATTTGCATTTCTCTGATGGCCAGTGATGGTGAGCATTTTTTCATGTGTTTTTTGGCTGCATAAATGTCTTCTTTTGAGAAGTATCTGTTCATGTCCTTCGCCCACTTTTTGATGGGGTTGTTTTTTTCCTGTAAATTTGTTTGAGTTCATTGTAGATTCTAGATATTAGCCCTTTGTCAGATGAGTAGGTTGTGAAAATTTTCTCCCATTTTGTAGGTTGCCTGTTCACTCTGATGGTAGTTTCTTTTGCTGTGAAGAAGCTCTTTAGTTTAATTAGATCTCATTTGTCAATTTTGGCTTTTGTTGCCATTGCTTTTGATGTTTTAGACACGAAGTCCTTGCCCATGCCTATGTCCTCAATGGTAATGCCTAAGTTTTCTTCTAGGGTTTTTATGGTTTTAGATCTAATGTTTAAGTCTTTAATCCATCTTGAATTAATTTTTGTATAAGGTGTAAGGAAGGGATCCAGTTTCAGCTTTCTACATATGGCTAGCCAGTTTTCCCAGCACCATTTATTAAATAGGGAATCCCTTCCCCATTGCTTGTTTTTCTCAGGTTTGTCAAAGATCAGATAGGTGTAGATATGCGGCATTATTTCTGAGGGCTCTGTTCTGTTCCATTGATCTATATCTCTGTTTTGGTACCAGTACCATGCTGTTTTGGTTACTGTAGCCTTGTAGTATAGTTTGAAGTCAGGTAGCGTGATGCCTCCAGCTTTGTTCTTTTGGCTTAGGATTGACTTGGCAATGCGGGCTCTTTTTTGGTTCCATATGAACTTTAGTTTTTTCCAACTCTGTGAAGAAAGTCATTGGTAGCTTGATGGGGATGGCATTGAATCTATAAATTACCTTGGGCAGTATGGCGATTTTCATGATATTGATTCTTCCTACCCATGAGCATGGAATGTTCTTCCATTTCTTTGTATCTTCTTTTATTTCATTAAGCAGTGGTTTGTAGTTCTCCTTGAAGAGGTCCTTCACATCCCTTCTAAGTTGGATTCCTAGGTACTTTATTCTCTTTGAAGCAATTGTGAATGGGAGTTCACTCATGATTTGGCTCTCTGTTTGTCTGTTATTGGTGTATAAGAATGCTTGTGATTTTTGTACATTGATTTTGTATCCTGAGACTTTGCTGAAGTTGCTTATCAGCTTAAGGAGATTTTGGGCTGAGACAATGGGGTTTTCTAGATATACAATCATGTCATCTGCAAACAGGGACAATTTGACTTCCTCTTTTCCTAATTGAATATCCTTTATTTCCTTCTCCTGCATGATTGCCCTGGCCAGAACTTCCAACACTATGTTGAATAGGAGTGGTGAGAGAGGGCATCCCTGTCTTGTGCCAGTTTTCAAAGGGAATGCTTCCAGTTTTTGCCCATTCAGTATGATATTGGCTGTGGGTTTGTCATAGATAGCTCTTCTAATTTGGAGATACGTCCCATCAATACCTAATTTATTGTTTTTAGCATGAATGGGCTGAACTTTGTCAAAGGCCTTTTCTGCATCTATTGAGATAAACATGTGGTTTTTGTCTTTGGTTCTGTTTATATGCTGGATTACATTTATTGATTTGCGTATATTGAACCAGCCTTGCATCCTAGGGATGAAGCCCACTTGATCATGGTGGATAAGCTTTTTGATGTGCTGCTGGATTCAGTTTGCCAGTATTTTATTGAGGATTTTTGCATCCATGTTCATCAAGGATATTGGTCTAAAATTCTCTTTTTTGGTTGTGTCTCTGCCTGGCTTTGGTATCAGGATGATGCTGGCCTCATACAATGAGTTAGGGAGGATTCCCTCTTTTTCTATTGATTGGAATAGTTTCAGAAGGAACGGTACCAGTTCCTCCTTGTACCTCTGGTAGAATTCGGCTGCGAATCCATCTGGTCCTGGATTCTTTTTGGTTGGTAAGCTATTGATTATTGCCACAATTTCAGAGCCTGTTATTGGTCTATTCAGAGATTCAACTTCTTCCTGGTTTAGTGTTGGGAGGGTGTATGTGTCAAGGAATTTATCCATTTCTTCTAGATTTTCTAGTTTATTTGCGTAGAGGTGTTTGTAGTATTCTCTGATGGTAGTTTGTATTTCTGTGGGATCAGTGGTGATAACCCCTTTATCATTTTTTATTGCGTCTATTTGGTTCTTCTCTCTTTTCCGTTCTTTCTTAAGAAAGCTTTCCTTCCAAAAATCTAGAGCAAGAAGGCTTTTCAGTGTTACATATGGGGATATATCAAACACCTGCTTTTCAAATGACCTATTTTACATCAGTTTCTCTGTCAGTGAGCAAGTCATCAAGGTAATACCCATCAAAAAGGCTAACCGGAGTATGTCTTATTTTTATGCAACAAAATGAAGTATAGATAGTATATTTAGCAAATGTAGCAAGCAAATACCTTCGCTGTGAACCAAAACCATAATACTGAAAGATTCCAAAAAGAATTGGTCTTTCAATTACCTGAAATTTAAAACTTATTTTTAATTTAAAAAATTAAAACACAACAGTTACTGTTTGAGAAAATGTAATCAAACTAACAGTTTAATGAAGACAGTTTGAAATGCAACTCTGACAATAATGGGATACATTTTAGTAACCTCAAACTTGCTCCCTGGGTCTATTTTTTTTAGTTTTATAAGAATATCTCTAAATGCAGCAAACTTCCAAATTGAGAAGAAAAAACCATTAGGCTCTTAAATGGAGACTGACTACAATGGTCAAATCCTAATTCTAGCTTTCCGGTCAGCATATCTAGCTAGTCATTCCTTTCTGTCACTGCCATCAGACTTCTTTTGTTGCAAAAATTAGAAGCACTTTTCCATTCCTGAGACAACATGAATATGAGTAATGGCTTCTTGCTTAACATTGAGGCTTTACTAAATAAAATGTGTACACAGTCAGCCAAATGTTTGATCTCCACATACTCACTTTTTAACAACAAAAAATCTGCAGCATCTCAGCATATAAACCAAATCAACACTAGGGAAATACTTTTAAAATTCTGCTCTGTCATTTGGGCAATTTCTTAAAATGCTGAAAACAGTGTAAACTGGTATTGACTGTTGAAATGCAATTTGAACAATGAACCTTTAAAATATTTAAAACATTTGACCCCTAAGAGCTTGTCTTAAAACTAAAATCAAGAGAAATCATTATATGCAAAGATACTCAGGGGGTATTGTTTCAACTGGAAAAACAAAACTAACCTAAATGCTCAACAATGAGAAAGTGGTTACATAAATTATGGTAGGTATTTTTGATAGAATAATATGTAGCCATTTAAAACTATATTTAAAATATTTAAATGCCCATATTATTTTAGGTGAAAAAAATACATAAAAAGACTAAAATGAATTACAAATGGTCACAAACTTTTTTCTTTTTCTTTCTTTTTTTGGCAGGGAACGGTTTCCAATAGTCTATAATGAATATAATACAAGTGGTAGAATTTTATTTTTAAAAACCATATTTTTGTACAGTTCCATTTTCTCTACCAAATATCTGGTTGGTTTTATTTAAGGTGTAATTTTAATTTTCTCTGGTGTTTAGTAATTGAAGTACTACTTGGTCTACTAACAGGAGATTTTTTTTCAGCTCTTTCCTACCATCAAAGTTTTATGAAAGATGTTTTGAGAGATACAAAAATAAGATGTGGTGATGTCCAGTTACATTAATAGCATATTCCTACAGAACAGGAATAACAGTAATTATGACAATTACAAAATTAATTGAGTCTTTTACAAGAATTGATACAAACAGTACTTGGCATGACTGACCTCAAGTAAACAAATGACTGAAAGCAATCATTAGCAGTTTATTTTAGGAAACTTTTTTTGATATTAAAGAAATCAATGCTACGTTTTGTGAGAGCAGAAAGGCTATAAATCTTAAGTAAATTCGGGGAAAATTTCTTCCTTAATGTACCATCAAGGCACACTTTAATGCTATAATATTTTGGCGAGAGCAAGAGTTTGGCCTCCACAGGAATCGTTTAGAAACCTGCTTCCCATGAAATAGTGGAATATTTCCAGCTAGTCATTCCAGTGTTCTGTTTTGCATTTTTTCCTCAATGAAATAGGACAATTAATAAACTCTGGTCATAGTAAAGAGCCCAGGTTTCAGCAGCAGCAATATTATCTTTGGATCTGGGTTGAGGGACATGAGTTATTCAAATACAGTTCAACTCTCAGAAAGCTGGCCATTGGGAATGTACCCTTATTATTTTGAAATTCTTGTCTTTCTTGTGTTTTCTATCATTTTCCTCTGATCTTTTTTTTTTGTATTATTTGCCCATGCAGGTCATTCATTTTTTGAATATTCACTATGCAATTTCATTGACACTTCTGATCTTTCTTAGTATGTGTTTAGATGCCAGTGTGCCAACTGAATGTGGCATGATTTTAAAACACTCAACACAGAAAACAGAATGCTAGAATACTAGGAACATTCTTTCTCATGGCACAGAGGATGTGATATTGCATATATAGAGATGATTCTGGGATCTCAGTATACTACTTAGCTCTTCAGTGAACAATATTTACAGTTATATCCTATAAATGGTAATAGTTTTCAACTTTTGGCTTCAACCTATGGATAAAAACAAACAAATATAATTATAAAACAGAAAGTAAATATTGTCAATCTGACAATGTAAAGGTACAGCAGACAGACTATAGGAAATAGGAATAAGGAAGGTGAAAGAACAGAAGCGCTAGTATAATAAAGGCAGAAGATAAAAAGATACTGACTAAAGTTGATGGAACAAAATTAAATGTTTATATGTATTTAATTTAGAATTACAAAATAATCAATGAAAGGACAATCGAATATAAACTAATGAATATTAGAAGGAAGAAGGGGAGGGATTAGTGTAGCTGAGCTTTTGCTAACCTTCTGCAGTGAAGAGTCAATAGATAATCTCTTAAATCAATAGATAACCAAAAGCTATTATTTAGACTTAGAGAGGCAATCACCAAAAAAATTAAAAACAAAACTCTTTACATGTTGCTAACTCTGGGAAATGCGATAAAACTAGGGAAGAATGGGTGGGGAACTGTTCTAAGTTCTGCATAAGTGTGTGCACACATGCACACATACATGTAACCATATATTACTTTTGATAAAAATAAAAAGGAAAGGTTAATGTAAAAATGTTTAACCCTGCAGAGATTCACACCCATCCTTCACTGCAACTCAATAACAAAAAATTCAGCTTCTGCTTAAGGGAACACTTAATCTAATGTCAAGGCAAACACTACAAAGGAATCACTACACAAGGGGAGCACACACATAATGTTGCCAGGGTTTCTCAACCTTGCCACTACTTTTGGGCCCAGATCATTATTTGTTGTTGGGGGCTGTCCTGTGTATTGCAGAATGTTTAGCATCATTCCTGGCCTTTACCCACTACCTGCCAATAGCCCCTTGCCTCACCCTGCCCTCCCCAATCCCCGGCTGTGACAATCAGAAATGCCTCCAGACATTGCCAAATGCCCCATGGGAGAAAAACCAAGTCCAGTTTAGAACCACTCATTAATAAGAAGGATGAGACAAGTACACAAATTCACTTTAGATAGACCCATACGATCAGCCCACTTAGTTTAACTGTGGGTTTACTGAACTATGATCCCTGATCAAAAGAAGAAAAACACATCAAAATATAGTTTGGACAGCTCACAACCATTCCAAACCATAAGAAAATGTCCACAGTGAGCTTTGAAATGGGAAACATATCTATTGCCTTTCAGTCAGTTTTAATTCTTCTGTGATTGTCGGTGAGAGTACCTCATAGTGCTGAATGGAATTCATTACATCCCTAAAACAACTCATGTCCTTCATAAGATACCCAAACGATGCTGAGGGAATGGGGAGAGAGGGCTGTCAGCTCTTTATTGAGAAATGGTATGTGTCAGTGTCCAGTACGTCATGTAGATATTGAACACTGTATTTGATAAGCTATGTAAAGAATTTTTTTTTTCCCTTGGAAGTGGAGTTTCACTCTTGTCGCCCAGGCTGGAATGCAGTGGTGGCAATCTCAGCTTATTGCAACCTCTGCATCTCGGGTTCAAGCGATTCTCCTGACTCGGGCTCCCGAGTAGCTGGGATTACAGGCGCCCGCCATCACGCCCGGCTAATTTTTTGTAGTTTTAGTAGAGATGGGTTTCGCCATGTTGGGCAGGCTACTGGTCACGAACTCCTGACCTCGTGATCCACCTGCCTTGTCCTCCCAAAGTGCTGGGATTATAGGCGTGAGCCACTGGGCCTGCCCAAGAATTTTTAAAGATACGTTTGACTACACATAATTTTTGCCTTGCATGTTTATTTTGGAACTTATGTACTCTCTTTGTAGCTTTAATACATCCATCTATTCATCACCCATGTATCCAGCTTTTATTAAATACTCTCTGTGTGTCAAGCACATGGCAGATGCTACAAACATTGGTTAATGGTTTGAATATATATTAAATTTTCCAGAAATACAATTACCATGTAAATGCAGAAAAGACTATAATTTGTTTTGTTTGGAACTTTGCAAAAAATTGTTTCCTAAATGGAAAGTCACATCACTAACATTTACTTTTTGTGTCTTCTTTATTTCATTGTTATGGCATTATATTATGTAAGTAGTGTATTAGTTTCCTAAGGCTGCTGTAAGAAATTATCACAAACTTCATGGCTTAAAACAACAGAAATTTATTCTTTCTCAGTTCTAAAGTCCAGAAATCCAAAACCAGTTTCACGATGTCTAAATCAAGGTGTCCACAGGGCCACTCTTCTGAAAGCTCTAGAAAGAATCCATTCCTTGCCTCTTGCAGTCTCTGGTAGCTGCTGGCATGCCTTGATTTGTGGTCATGTCATTCCAATCTCTGCCTCAGAGGTCATGTTGCCTGCATCTCCTCTATGATATTCCCTCCATGATACATGTGACTGAATTTAGAGTCCACCAGGATAATCTCTCCATCTCAACATCTTAACTCAGTCACATCTGCAAAGTTCTTTTTTGCCATATAAGGTAACAATTACAGGTTTCAGGGACTAGGATGTGGCTACCTTTTCGGGAAGCATTACTCAGCTCACTGCAGTAGGGTATAATACCTATGGGAATTTCATTTCATATAGTAAAGGGAGCATTTAGAAAATGTTATAAAAAGAAGGTATTCAGAATCAGTGCTCCAGAGGGTTTTAAAACCTTTTTGCCTTAAAAAAGAAAAAAAATGAGGAGCACACAAAGGCCATTTCACTCCTTCTTTATTCCATTATCATTACTCAAAATTACAATCTTCATAAAATAATTGTAACCTTCTTTAGGAAAAGGAAGACAGAAGACTACGTTTTCTTTGCCAGAGAAAGAGATTATGTTCTGGGCACTAGAAAGGACCAAAATTCTTTTTGGAAGCAACCAACAGTGGATTCCAGTATCTACTTTGACTCTTTTTCAACAACCTCAGTGGCTTCTCACTGCTTCAGCAAAAACTACAAATTCCTTGGGATCTGAGACTTGTCTAACTCTCCAGTTTAATTTTCTCCTTTGTACTTTATGTACTACTAATAACAGTAAACTATTTTTGGTACTTTGAATACAATAGGTAGTATATGGCTTTGTATCCTTGCACATGCTGGAATATTCTCTCTTGCCTTGTCTGCTAGTCAAATTCCTTTTCAGCTTAGTTGTCCATGAACATTTACTGACCCTCACCCTCCAACTAAGGGAAAGTTGAAACGGGAGAGTCCCCTGATCCCCCACGAAGGGCAGGGCCTGCGACAGGGCTGTGGCTTGTCTGTTCTGTTCGGCTGCTGCACTCTCAAACCCCTTACAGGAGGCGGAGCTCGCAGACCGGCAGGTGTAGGGGGCGGGGAGAGCGCTTTTGGGCTCCAGCCCCACAGCAGCATCTAGGAATACATGCCTGCAACTCCTGAAGCCCCAGTGGGCATGCTACAGTGCTCTTTTAGCTCTGCCTTCCACAGATTGCTTAAGTATTAACCAGCCCAGTGCCCTCTTCGTACCCAGATTCTTTTCCTGTGTCCAGGAAGAATCAGGTCACAGACGGATTTGAAGGATGGTGAATGTGGGAATTGTATTAGGTGATGGAGGTGGCTCTCAGTGAGATGGATGGGGAGCTGGAAAGGGGATGGAGTGGGAAGATGATCTTCCCCTGGAGTTCTGCTGTCCCATGGCCAATCTCCTCTCCAGCTGTCCCCAACCGACCTCTCCTTGACGTTCAAACACTCCTTCTCTTCTCTCCTTTACTGTGCTCCTCTTCTGCTCCTCTGTTTGTCTGCTCTCCTGCCTGTGGACCTGGAATTTGGGGTTTATATGGGTACAGGATGCGGGGATGGCAGGCAGAAGGCAACATTTGGACATGAAAACAGAAATGCCTGTTCCCAATTAGGGCCATGGGTTTCCAGGCTTGGGGGGTGGGGGCCTTTGCTGGGGAACCACCCTCTTCTACCCAGTATTTCCCTGCCTCCTGCCCATATCAAAGTCACTCTCTCTTCTAAGATATCACTATGCCTTATACATATTTAAACTGTTAAATTTATCATACTAGATATAAATTATTTGCTTATGTATTTGTTTCCCCTATTAGACTATGAGCTTTTTCAGGGAAGTAACTGGCTCTTATTTATCTCTTTCTTATTAGTAGACAAGAGTATTGAATGAATGAATTTCTAGCCTGTGCTTCAGTTCTAAGCCTTGTCCACCTACATATAAGTCTAAAACTGAACTCATTTTTATTTTGAACAACCTCCTCCTACTGTGTTCCTATCTTCATTGATGACACTATCATTAATCCAGTGGCTCAAGCCGGAAACCTGGGAGATACACCAGACATCTACTTCTCCTTTATTGTCCACATTTACTCAGATATCAGCTCCTCTCAACTGGAACTCTGCTGCACCCCACCATTTGTTAACCTGTTTCTTTCTTTTATTCACCTTATTACTACCTTGGTTCAATCCCTATTTTATTCTGACTTTTTTAACAGCCCGGCCTGACTGCTAATCTACTCAAGCACTGTTAACACAAATTAAGAGTTAGACCGACAAATGAGAAAGACAATCCCTTTACTCAGAGGAATAAGAAAAGAGTTTCCATCCTGAACACAATCCAGAGGGCAGGCATGACCTGGAGCGAGGACTGTGCCTTTGTGAAAAGAACAACTCCAGCCAGGCAGTGGCTCACATCTATAATCCCAGTACTTTGGGAAGCTGAGGTGGGCAAATCGCTGGAGCTTAGGAGTTTCAGATCAGCCTGACCAACATGGTGAAACCCCATCTCTACAAAAAGTACAAAAATTAGCCAGGTGTGGTGGTGCACACCTGTAGTCCCAGCTACTCAGGAGGCTGAGGTGGGAAGCTACTCAGGAGGCTGAGGTGGGAGGATCACTTGAGCCTGGGAGGTGGAGGTTGCAGTGAGCCAAGATTACACCACTGCACTCCAGCCTGGGCAGCAGAGTGAGATCCCATCTAAACACCCCCTCCCAAAACCACAAAAAACCTCACAACTCCAATCTGTAGATGGTGCTTAGATCTGCTGCTTAGTTATGTCCTGGGAATTCCCTCCACTTCTTTCCTGTGCCTGATTCCTTGTTTCTTTGTTACTCTCTAACTTTGGTAAAGGGTATACTCTATTGTTCACTAAGTAAGGGTGAATAAAAATTTTTGAGACCTTGTATATATGAAAATGTCATTGTTCAAACTTCACACTTAAGCAACAGTTTGGCTAGTTATAGAATTCTATATTAAAATCATTTCCCCCCAGGAATTTTGAAGGCATTGTTTTATAGTCATCTAGTTTACAGTATTGCTCCTAGGAAGACTTTCACTACTGTGGTTCTTGATTCTTTGCAGGAATTTTTTTTGTGTTGTTTGTTCCTTCTCTCTGTAAGCTTTTAGAATATTATCTATATAACTGGATTTCTGATCATTCACAGTATGTCTTGGGTAACAATTATCTTACAAGTATTATACTGGATACCGGGAGGAAAACTTTTAATCTTGAAACTAATTTCCTTCAGTTACATCAATTTTTGTATTATTTTGTTAATAATTTTCTACCATCCCTTTTACTTTTTTCTTGTTGCAGAATTTCTATTATTTGCATGTTGGACTTCCTGGACTGATCTTCTAATTTTCTTATCTTTTCTCTCCCATTTTCAAGCTTTCTCTTTTTTTCCACCCCCAGGAAACTTCTGTAACTCTCCCAACCCAACAATTGAACTAATTTTGACTTCTAGGACTTTTGGTTTTCTGAATATACCCTTTTTATAATTCCTTATTTTTGTTTCAAGAATGCAGGATCTTCTTTTAGTTCTCTAAAGTTATTAAATGTAGCTTTTTAAGTTTTCATCTGGTCTTGTATTGTCTGTTTCCTCTTTTCCTCTGAGTCTGTTTCTTTCCTTGTGTTTTCTTTAATAATTTTAGGAGCAGTTTTAGGTTCACAACAAAGTTGAACAGAAAGTACAGAGTTCCCATATACCTCCTGCCCCCAACACATGCACAGCTTCCCCTACAATCAACATCCTGCACCAGAGTGGTACATTTGTTACAATCAATGTATCTATATTAACATGTCATTATCACACAAAGTCCATAATTTACATTATAGGGTTCACTTTTAGTGCTGTACATTCTATGGGTTTTGACAAATATATAATGACACGTGTCCACTTTATAGTATCATACAGATTCATTTCACTGTCCTAAAGGTGAGGGTGCTCTGCCTATTCACGCTCCCTCTGCTAAACTCTGGCAACCACTGATCTTTTTTATTTTCTGCATAGTTTTGCCTTTTCCAGAATGTCACATACTTGGAATCATACAGTATGTAGCCTTTTCAGATTTTTTTGTTTTATTATATACATTTAAGGTGTACAACATGATGTTTTGATATACACAGAGAAATGATTACTAGAGTCAAGCAAATTAACGTATCTACCCTCTCACAGTTATCTTTTCTTTCCTCCCTCCCTTCCTTCCCTCTTGCCCTTCCTCCTCCCTTTCTTCCTTCCTTGTGGTAAAAGCACCTGAAATCTACTCTCTTGGCAAATTTTCAGTAAACAATATTACATATAGTCATCATGCTGTACATTAGCTCTGTAGACTTATTCATTCTACATAACTGCAACTTTATACCCTTTGATGAACATCTTCCCATCCCCCACATAACCACTGTTCTACTCTGTTCATATGTATTTGACTTTTTTAGATTCCACATGAATGTGAGATCATGCAGTATTTTTCCTTCTGTGTCTGGCTCATTTCATTTAGCATAATGTTCTCCATGTCTATGCATGTTGTTGAAAATGGCAGGATCTCCTTAAGTCTGAACAATATTGCACTGTACGTACATATCACAATTTTTTATATACTCACTTACTGACACTTAGGTTGTTTCTCTAACTTGGCTATCGTTAATAATGCTGCAATGAACATGGGAGCATAGATATCTCTACAAGGTACCAATTTCATTTCCTTTGGGTATAAACCCAGAAGAGGAATTGCTGGATCACATGGTTTCTTTCACTTGACAGTATACATTTAAGATTCCTCCATGACTTTTCATGGCTTGATGCCTCATTTCTTCTTCTTTTTTTTTTTTTTTTTTTTTTGAGATGGAGTCTTGCTCTGTCGCCCAGGCTGGAGTGCAGTGGCACGATTTCAGCTCACTGCAACCTCCATCACCTGGGTTGAAGTGATTCTCCTGCCTCAGCCTCCCAAGTAGCTGGGATTACAGGTGTGTGTCACCACACTTGGCTAATTTTTGTATTTTTAGTAGAGACGGGGTTTCACCATGTTGGCCAGGCTGGTCTTGATCTCCTGACCTCAGGTGATCCGCCCACCTCGGCCTCCCAAAGTGCTGGGAGTACAGGCGTGAGCCACCATGCTGGGTATTTTTTTTTTTTTTTTTGAGACGAGGTTTTGCTCTTGTCGCCCAGGCTGGAGTGCAATGGCATGATCTCAGCTCACTGCAGTCTCCGCCTCCGGGGTTCAAGCGATTCTCCTGCTTCAGCCTCCCAACTAGCTGGGATTACAGGTGCCCGCCATCATGCCCAGCTAATTTTTTTCTGAGACGGAGTTTTGCTCTTGTTGCTCAGGCTGGAGTGCAATGGCTTGATCTCAGCTCACCGCAACCTCCAACTCCCGGGTTCAAGCGATTCTCCTGCCTCAGCCTCCTGAGTAGCTGGGATTACAGGCATGCAGCACCACGCCCAGGTAATTTTGTATTTTTAGTAGAGACAGGGTTTCCCCATGTTGGTCAGGTTGGTCTCGATCTCCCAACCTCAGGTGATCCGCCCGCCTTGGCCTCCCAAAGTGCTGGGATTACAGGCGTGAGCCAAGGCTCCGGCACCTCATTTCTACTTAGTGCTGAATAATATCCCATTGTACAAATATATCAGTTTTTAAAATTCTTTCACTTCTGAGGAACATTTTAGTTGCTTCCAGATTTTGGTAAATATAAGGCTGTTATTAACATCTTTATGGAGGTTTTTGTGTAGAAATATGTCTTGAACTCATTTGGGTAAATACCAAGGAGCACTACTGATGGATCCTATGATGAGATTATATTTAGTTTGGTTAAAAAACTGCCAAACTGTATTCCAAAGTAGCTGTACCATTTCTTATTCCCACCAGCAATGAATGAGAGTTCCTGTTGTCCCACATCCTCGCCAGTATTTGGTATTGTCAGTGTTTCAGATTTTTGTCATTCTAATACATGTGTAGAGGTATCTCATTATTGGCTTGTGTGTGTGTATGTGGCTGTTTTAGTATATATCTTTCACATTAAAGGTTTTCCTGAAATATCTGGTGATACTTGGCTATTTCTTGACGTAAGTGTGATGCATTAAAAGACTAAATACAAGCTCTGTGTACACAGAAGAGGCTTATTGAGTGGTATGCTTAACTATATGATGATTAAACAGGAGGTACTCAGCTCTTTCTTGAAGGGCCCTCAACTATTTTTACCTGTAGGTCTTTTCTCTTGGGCAGGAGAAATTCTGTTGAAAATATTCCTCCAATCCCTTAAGTGAAAGTAGAAGACTTGCTGCCAGCAGTCTCAGAACTCCTACTAACTGGGACTCTCCTTCAGTTAGTAGACTTTCACTTAATCTCCCTGTTTTCAGTAAGGTGATCTTGGCCTTAACTACACCTAATATCTATGATTGCTGAGTCCTTTTAGTTTACCTTCTCCAGAAAATAAGCTTCCAGGTTCCTATAATAGTGGGGAAATGGCAGCACAGTGTTATGAAAGTGGACTCTGGAGTTAGCTTGCCTAAATCGAATATTAGCTCTTCTAACTAGCTAGCTGTGCAACCTTAAGCAAGCTAGTTAATCACTCAGTGCCTCAGTTTCCTATCTCTAAAGTGGATGTAACAATTTCTACCTCACATTGCTATTGTGAGAATAATACATGCAAATCTCTTAAAACAGCACCATGAAGACAGTATGCTAAAAAATGTTATCTGGCCAGGTGCGGTGGCTCACGCCTGTAATCCCAACCGTTTGGGAGGCCGAGGTGGGCAGATCACCTGAAGTCAGGAGTTCTATACCAGCCTGGCCAACGCTGTAAAACCCCGTCTCTACTAAAAAATACAAAAATCAGCCGGATGTGGTGGTGGGTGCCTGTAATCCCAGCTACTTGGGAGGCTGAGGCAGGAGAATCACTTGAACCCGGGAGGCAGAGGTTGCAGCGAGCAAAGATCCACCACTGCATTCCAGCCTGGGCGACAGAGCAAGACTGCCTCAAAAAAAAAAAAAAAAGTTTGGAGGCAGGAACTCATAGGAAGTCTCTTAAGATGCCAGAGGGCTGAGACATGAGAATTGCTTGAACCCAGGAGGCGGAGGTTGCGGTTTGGCTAGATCGCGCCACTGCACTCCATCCTGGACAACAGAGCGAGACTTTGTCTTAAAAAAAAAAAAGTTATCTTTAAAGAAAAAAAATATAACAGAGGGAGCAACATTATTATATTTCCCACCTCACACTCAGTCCCCAGATGAATATATGTTCACTGAGTAGAATACAGGCAGGATTACCCAGCACTATTTAAAGTTATTTTCTTCCCCACTTTTGAACTGTATGAATTAAAATGACATGAACTTAAATACCTGTTATGATTTAACTCTACTGTAATCCTGGGGAGGGGTTATGGCGTGATCTACACAGTAGCAATAAGGAAGGAGAATTAGGCAGATCCGAGAAATATTTACAAAATTAATTTATAACTGGGTGAATGTACGAGGTGAAGGAGATATAAACTGGTGGTACCATTCACGGAGGTACGGTACAGGAAGAGGAGCACATTTGAGCCATTAAAGATGAAAGATAAGTTTAATTTTAAACACGTTGAGCTCACAAAGCCTCTGGAACATCTAAATGGAGATCTCCAATATCAGAGGTAGCTGATATGTTTCGGCAGCATGGATGAGAGTCGTCAACCTATTTTTGGTAGCTAAGCTATAAAAGTTTATAATGTTATTCAAAGATAGTAAAGTACAAGTACGGATAAAGATGGAACCCTGGTGGGGTAGAGACTGCTGGTTGTCTCTTCCCTTCTTCTACCTGAGTAACAGAACCCTGACTTTTAGTTGGGCTCATTGCCACCTTTAATAAACGCTACATTTTCTAGGTCCCTATGCAATTTAGTATGGCCATCGGGCATATTAAGTTCTGGCAACAAGAAAATGGAGTCTTAAGTGAGATTCAGCTGGTAGGCATCCCTTTCTCTCTTTCTGCTCTCTAGAACACGGATGCGATGTCTGCACTCCACAAGTCGTCCTAGACCTCAAGGATGGGGAAGGCACACACAAGAATAATGGAACAGAAAGGTAGATCCTCCTTCCTTGATGACACTGTAGATCAACCGTTGCTGTTTGTAATTTTAAATGAGATTGTATAAAAAGACCTCACAGAAGAGGTAAGATTTGTCAAAGCCTTGAAGGTGATGAGTGAGCAAAGTCATGTGGGAAACTGGGGGAAGAAACGTCCAAGAAGAGCACAGAAAGCACAAAGGTATGGAAGCAGGAGACTACCCAGCACGACTGGGGAAGAGTGAGCACAATTTTAGAGCCAGACTGTGTGGGTTTGAATCCTGGCTCCTATACTTCCTAACTGGGAAGTTACTTTCACCTCTCTTGGACAAGTTACTTTAACCTCTCTGTGCCACAGTTACCTCATTTCAAAAAATGGAAATAATATTGATACGTACCTCATAATATTATTATGAAGATTAAATGAATATTCATATTCATAAAGTCCTTAGAATGATGCTAAGTGCTATATAAGTATATGTTACATAAGATAAAAATTAAAAGTGTGACTGAAACCAGTGAGGGAGTACTGGAAGATAAATCAAGGAGATAAAAAGGGCAGAAGACTTGTGTTGGACTTTGTAATGATTTTTGCTTTTACTTTGATTGAACTGGGAAGCAACTGGAGGATTTTGAGCAAAGGAATGCTATGACCTAACTTACATTAACAGATCATTATGGTTGTTTTGTTAAGAATAGACTGCAGGAAGTAAGAGTGGAAGTAAAAACAAAAAGATAAACTATTACTTTTGATGGTGGTAATAGTAACTGAAGATGGGTGGTAGCAATTAAATGAGAAAATTATCAGATTATTAATTTTTTGGCCAGGCACGATGGCTCATGCCTGTAATCCCAAGCACTCTGGGAGGTCAAGGCAGGAGGATTGCTTGAGCTGGTGTTGGAAAACAGCCTAGGCATCGTGGTAAGAGCCCATCTCTGCAAAAAATTAAAAAATGAGCCAGGTGTGGTGACGCACATAGCCTGTAGTACCAGCTGCTCAGGAGGCTGAGGTTAGTTAGGTGTGGTGACGTGCATGGTGATGTGTGCCTGTGATTACCAGCTACCCGGGAGGCTGAGGCAGGAGGTCGAGGCTGCAGTGAGCTATGTTCACGCCACTACATTCCAGCCTGGGCCACACAGCAAGACACTATCTCGAAAAAAAATTTTTTTTGAAGTGAAGGGAACAGTATGGCATGGACTGAACATGCAGGATGAGGGGAAAAAGGGGAGATACAGAATAACTTAAAGATCTTTGGCCTAAGCAATTAGAAGAAAGACATTACCATTTACTTAGATGGGAACAGTAGAAAGTGTAGATTGGTAGTATAAAGATGGGGAGTTTTACAAATCTGAGCTGTTAGACATCCAAGTGGAGATGTCACGGAGGCAGCTGGAGATGAGACTGAAATTCAGGGGAGAGTTCCAGGCCAGGGATATAAATTTCAGAATCACCATGAGCCCGATAATGAGTGTAAAAGAAAAGAGATCACTCACACCTGTAATCCCAGCACTTTGGGAGGACAAGGTGGGTGGATCACTTGAAGCCAGAAGTTTGAGACCAGCCTGGCCAACATGGCAAAACCCTGTTTCTACTAAAAATACAAAACTTATCTGGGTGTGGTGGCACACATCTATAATCCCACCTACTCAGACGGCTGAGGCAGGAGAATCGCTTGAACCCTGCAGGACGGAGGTTACAGTGAGCCAAAATCACACCATTGCATTCCAGCCTGGGTGACAGAGTGAGACTCTGTCTCAAAAAAAAAAGAAAAGAAGGGAAAAGAAAAGAGATCAGAGGAATAGTCCCAGGGGTACACCAATGTTTAGAGGATGGGGAGATTAAGAGAATTCAACAGAAGAGAAAAGGAGTGTTTGATGAAACAGGAAGAACTAGGAAAGCGTGACTTGTCTTTCAGAGAGCAAGGAGTTATCAGCTCTGTCACATGCTGCTGACTGAGAACTGATCATTGGATTTAGCAATGTGGAAGTCACTGCTACAACAGTTTCAGTGGAAAAGCCTGATAGGAGTGGGAGGAGAGGAACTGGAGACATCTGGTTTAGATAATTCTTTTTCTTTTTGGAGACAGGGTTTCACTCCCGTCCCCCAGGCTGAAGTGCAACAGCATGATCTCAGCTCACTGCAACCTCTGCCTCCCTGGCTCAAGTGATTCTCCTGCCTCAGCTGCCCCAGTAGCTAGGACTACAGGCTCATGTCACCTCACACAAATTTTTGTATTTTTTTTTGTAGAGATGGGGTTTCACCATGTTGCCCAGGCTGGTCTCAAACTCCTGACTTCAAGTGATCCTCCTGGGTCTGCCTCCCGAAGTGCTAGGATTACGGGCATGAGACACCACACCTGGCCTGGTTTAGACAATTATTTTAAGGAGTGCTGTCATGAAGACATGAGGCATATTCAAAAGATGCAAAGTAAAAGAGATTTTTATGATGACAGAAATTAGACTATTTGTAAAATGATAGGAAGGAAATGGTAGAAAAGGGCCAAGAAATAAGAAAGAAGGGAGAAAGTGGCTGGAGTGATGTAGGCAAGAGCAGGTGGGATCATAGCACAAGTTGGGGGGTAGGCCTTAGAAATAAACACAAAGAATTCATCCCAAGGAACAGAGTATATAGGCACAGATAAATAAGTGGTGGCAAGAGCTTATAAAATTCTTTTATGATTGCTTCTATTTTTTCAGTGAAACAGAAAGCGAAGAATATCAGTTATGGGTGAAATCAAAGAAAAAAGTGTCGAAGGTTTGACAGGAGAAGATATAAAAAAGCAATCTCCTAGATAGCAGATGAATGAGCTAAATGAAGTGATGAACCAAAGAAGTGAACCAGAATTGTGTGATAGCATCATAGGTACACTAGACGTTGAATTATAGTGATATCAGTCTGCATGGTTGTGCTTTTCCTCAGGAAGATTCAAATGCATGGGTGCAAATGTGAAGCAGGCAGAGTTATATTTAACTATGGTTGGAATTTTACCAGGGAAATATGATGGTTCAAGGGATAGGCAAGGGATTAAATAACATACTACAAAACCTCAACTGGATAAAGAGGGAAGTAAGAATGAGTGTGGGGGGTCAGTGCAAAGGTGGTAGAATCAATGAATTGATAGAAGTCTTGGTAGGGGTGAAAACTGTCAGAGTTGAAGTACTTGAGAGGGTGAGTTAGAAACAAAGGAGATGGTGGTGGCAGATGGGCAGATACTAACAAATGCTATTTTGGTAATGACAAGATCAGTGGTATGACCATAGGAGAAAATAAGTGGCCAGTGTAGGTAGAGAATATGATCATTAGAGAAGAAGAGGTTCAGGAACTGAAAGCATTAGAAGGATTAGCTACATGCATATTGAAATCATCCAGAATTATAACAGGGGTAATACTGAAGAGAACTAAAAGGTGAGTAGAAGCTAAAATTTAGCTAAAACTTTCATGAAATGACAGGAAATGGTCTAGGAGTCTATAGATGACAATAGTAAGGAGAGCCGTAGATGGTATACATTCATGAGATTAAAAGCTGGGGGGTTCAAGGAGAGGAAGATGGTTGAGAAGCAGAAATGTGGGACAAACAGGACACCTATACCATCTTCAAATTAGTATGAGAGACATAAAGAGAAAAGACTGACCACTTGAGAGAACTACAGGGAAGCCTCAGAGGAGGTTCTCGTAGTGTAAGAAACAGACAGAAATGTTCAGAAGAGAATTAGAGACATGTGAGTTTTGCTGATGATTGACTGTGAGTTCCAGAGAGCACAGTGGAAGGGTTTCAGGAGTTAGAGAGCAGTGGAAGACGAGGTCAGAAACAGATGACAGCCATATGGGATGAGTCTGAGAAATGAAAGATAACCTAATATACTTGAAATGACTAACACAAATTGAGATAGATGGTATAATGTCATAATCCAAATGGTCTCAAGGCAAATAATGGTGACAATCCAGTGAGTAGTAGGGATCAACGACTAGGGAGTTGTGGTTCGGCCAGAGGTATGCAGAGTTCTAGGACTCTCACTCTCTCCAGTTGACAGTGACATGGAAGCCAGTGGAGGGGAGCTGTGGGTTTAGTATCAGAGCATGAGAAGTATTCCAAAAGAATGGCAACGAACCAACTATTTCTGAGATAGTAGTGTGTACAACACCCTGCAATCTTTAGGGATTTTTGCCCCAGTGGGCATTTTTGCCCCAGGGAGCACTCATTTGCCAAGGACTTGACATTTCATATACATTATTTTATTTCACTCTCAGAACAATTCCAAGAAGGAAGTGTTATCATTGCCATTTTACAGATGACAAACGAAGGCTAGAGAGAATAAGGTTCTTTACATTCCACCTCAGCTCCCATGAAAAGTCCTGATAGACCCCAAACGCTCCATAAAATCTAAAGTAGAATTTCATGTGAAGAAATCCTTTACTTTTATAAAGATGAAAATTTCTCTTTACCCTTTACCACCAGCAAATAAATGAAGAAGTTATTTCATAAAAACTCATGATAGCTCTTTCTCTTACCAATGAATTCAATCTGAGCATAATAATCCTTTATGACAGTCCAACAAACTGTTGGGAGAGAGTTAGTTACGTATTATACTCTAGTCTTTATATATGAATGTATGTATTGAAAAAAAAAAAAAAAAGGAAAAGCCTACCTCCACAGAGAATTTTACAAAGATTGAAGGAATTCAATCAACGGAAGACAGGTGAGTCAATGTGCAGGCAGAACCATGAAGTAGTTAGTTCATGGGCCCAAGTAGGCTACAGAAATCAAAGAAAAAGAAAAAAGAAGAGAAACAGATATATTCACTTCATACGCCCCAGAGTTACAGAAAAGAACAAACACAGTGTCAGAATCTTAAAGTTAAATACATGTGAACCGAAGGAGTAAAAAATTAAAATTACTTAGAAATCTCCACACACTGAATACTACTCCCACATAACCGAAATAAAACATTTTACTTAAATTAAAACTAAAATGAAGTTTTAAAATGAAGCTTGAAAGACATAATTGCCACATAGTTGACTAAAGTATTAATCTTTTAACAGAATGAATTGAAAGAATCTACCAAGATGTTAAAGTATCACAATTAAGTAAAATTTTTTTCACATTCAGCAAAATTTCAATACATGCAATTAAAATTCAAGTTTCAGCAGGATTTACAAATATATTTATCTAAAGCTATTATTCCTAAATTCAGGATGCTTTTATGAACAACCTGTTACTTTAGGATTAATATTTGTACTGCTTCCTAGTATTTTCATCTGTCTGCACATTCACCCAAGCCCCTTGAGAGCAAAGGCGTGCACTGGATGGCCAAAGCACTGTTAGAAGTTGTGGCTATAAACTATGAATCCTAAACTAGATTTGCATAAGAATCACTTGGAGGACTTGTTAAAAACATATCTGGCACTGGCTGGCCAAAGCACTGGTACAAGTTAGAGCTATAAACTATGGATCCTAAACTGGTTTTGCCTTGTTAAAAACATATTCTTGAGTCTCACCTCAGATTTTTGAAATTAGAATCCCTGAGGCTTAGAGCTCTCTGTGTATAAAAAGATCTATGAGTATTTCTGATGATGGACAGGTTTTAGGAAAACAAACTAGAGCAGTGGCTTCAGAATTATTCTGAAGAGTCTTAAAATTCTTAAGAAACATCACTGGGCTTCACTCACCTGTTTCAGCACAGAATAGTCTCACTGATATAGTTTGGTTTGTCAGACCCCTCCAAATCTCATGTTGAAATCAGATCCCCAGTGTTGGAGGTAGGGCCAAAGGGGAGGTGTTTGGGCCCTGGGGCCAGATCCCTCATGAATGGCTTGGTGCCTTCCTTGGGGTAATGAGTGAGTTTTCACTTTTATTAGTTTCATGAGAGCTGGTTGTTAAAAAGAACCTGGCATGCCCCTCCTCTCTCGCTTCCTCTCTTGCCATGTGATCTCTGCATATCCTAGCTCCCCTTCACCTTCCACAATGAATGAAAGCAGCCTGAGCCCCTTACTAGATGCAGATGGAGCAGAAAAGCCCCTCATAAGAAGGGCCATGCTTCTTGCAGAGCCTGTAGAACTATGAGCAAAATAAACCTCTTTTATTTATAAATTATGCAGCCTCAGGTATTCTTTTATAGAAACACTAAATGAATTAAGAAATCCATTTTTATCTATTTTGTGTATCTACTTTTCTTCTTAAAATCTGAACATCACAAGGCCAGATAAAGCAAAACGAACTCATCCATATAAGAATTAAACCCATGATTTTGGCATCAAAGCTGACCTAATCCAAAGACAAAAGAGACTAGACAGATAAAAAGACCAGGACTGATGAACATAGAATATTTGTTAATGACAAAAGGAAAATCTTAGAAAAGCACTTCTATAATTCATATACTTTTATTTACTGGATCCTAAAAGAACTTATTCAATACATGACTGAATTGCATAATAAAATTCCAAATGGGAAAAAGTATATACACAAATATATTGAATTAACTGCACATACTTATTTCTCTTAGGAAAAAACTACCCTATTCTAGACTTGCAATTAAAAATACAAAATGTGTCTAAATAAATTAAAGCTTTGTGACCTTACTTCCTACAATCCTAATTCTGCCATCCCTACCTCTGACTAGCAGGCAGATGGGGGCAGGGAAGGCAACAGTAGCTCTGAGAAGGTGTTCTCTCCTTGAGAAAATGATTTCTCCATAAGCATAAGGTTTGGATCCTTTGAACACCTTTTAGACCCTCCCATGATCTACTCTACTCCAGAAAATTAGGTTGTGTTGTGGAGGAAAGCAGGTAAAAATGCTAATTACCTCCTCCCATCCTGTGCTTGGATATTCCCCCACAGTATTGGGTCTGTATATCCTGGTTTTTCAAATTCTCCATTCCGATCACCCTATCTAATAAAAATGTATGCTCACTGGATATTAGATTTGAGACATCCAGTTCTATATGTAGATACAAACTCAAGAGACTCCTTTATTAAATGAAGCAGCATAACATTTTTACTCACCTGTCTGAATACACATACTAAGCAGAAGATGGACTGAGTAAGAAGCCAGGAGAGCAACTGTCAGCAGCAAGAAGCTAAAACATAAAAGAACACCTGGTCAAAACCTCCCAAAAGTTTGTCTTTTGTATGGTGTCTCATTACAAAAACAAATTGCTTAACAGTCAAATATTCACAGGAACTATCTCTGAGTAGCAGAATTATGTTCATTAAGGAAATTAAGAAGATACTTTTCTACTTTTTTGTATTTACCAATTTTATTTAAATGAAAATATACTGATTTTAAAATAAAAAAAAATAAAAACCAAACTTTTTTAAAAATACAAGCAAACTTCCTCATTTTGCAGTCTTGTCTGCTGACTGCTGAATCAGCCATTAAATAATCTTGTAATATTTCCTTTTTATGACTGGTTTTCTTCTTATTTTAAGTCTAAACAGAAGTTTTACTTATGCAATCTCATTGTCTTCTCTTTTTCCCTTCCTCCCTCTACTTCCAGTGATATTGACCTCCTTATCATACCTTCATCTTATTAAGGTGTACTTAAGATTTATTTAGGCTGTATTTTCTAGCATCTATTAAACGCACACACTCTCCAAACCAAACTAAATTAAAATAATGTAGTTAACACACCTCTAATGATGCAATTTGAAAAATGTGCAAACAATGTAATGATTGAGGTCCTCTCACCAACAGTGTGAAAGAAAAAACTTAGATAATTTCCTATTCATTTTTAGGAAGACACCAGCAGGACAAGCTTCTATACAGCTATCCCCAGTGAACTGCCCCAGTCATTGAAGAAATTTTCTCTCTGTGGTCCAGTTAATACTTGTTAATAAATAAAATTGAGAGGTAAAAGTACAAATGTCATTAAACTGACATCAGGAACTTCACAAAATAACACTTTAGCATCACCAAAAATGATGGTTGCTATGACTGGGTGAGCACACATTCAGCAGTATATATCTGCATGTAAGACCCTGGTGCATAAATTATGATTTTTCAAAGAGAATCAAAAAAAAAGTCCTCTGACTATGTCTTGCTTAAGGTGTCACATATAGTTTTTAATTTTAAAAATAATGAAAGTTTGTGAGTACATTCCATAATAAAAGCAAGTTGGGTTACTTAAAAGTTGCTTTGCTTATCAAAAAATTTGGAATAAAAGCAGGAAATAAACATAAAAGAGACTCCCTAGGCATTTTAAATTTCCTAGTAAATAGATCTGCTTCTACTGACAAAGCCAATTTGTTAATTCATTCTATTAGCCATGTGGTGCTAGATGCTAAGAATAAGGTCCAGTTATAAAGGATTTTTCTATTTTTTAAATTTTTTAGACAGGATCTCACTCTGTCACCCAGGCTAGAGTGCAGTAGCCCAATCATGGCTCACTGCAGCCTCAACCTCTCAGGCTCAAGCAGTCCTCCCAAGTAGCTAGGACTACAGGCGCACTCCACCATACCAGGCTAATTTTTGTATTTTGGGCAGAGATGGGGTTTCACCATCTTGCCCAGGTTGGTCTCAAACTCGTGGGTTCCAGTGATCCGCCTGCCTTGACCTCCAGTTGTAAAGGATTTCAGTTTAGTGGGAACATTAATTTCCAAACATATCATTGTAACAATTATAATAACAGAATGAATATACAAAGTACTATGAAAGCACAGAATATCCAGGATTGTCTTCTATTTTGGGCAAACTGGCCTACAAGCTAAGTCCTGAAACATAAAAAAGAACAGGCACAAAACACATGTCTGGCCTCTGAAAGTGAAATAAGACTACTTAACAATACAAAGAGACAGCGAGGAATGAAAAGATTATGTGTTGTATTTGCACTCACAAAATTGCTATTTGGAAGTTAATCTGCATGGCTTTGATTCACTTTGGCCAAGGAGATACAATGAATATGCCACTCTTAAGTGTCATATTTCATTATAAATGAAATGTGGATCAAGTTCCCATTTTTAAAAACTAGTCACACTTCTGTGTATTTAAGAAGCTATGTAGTAGCCCTCCAAGGTACACACTAGCAACAAGAATAACAAGAAAAATGCTAAAACCCCAGAAATAACTAACTAGAAATTGTATAATAGCAGCTTCTGGAATCTATCTCTCTACTTCTCCGTATATTATCAAAATGGAAAAAAAAATTTGATGCTAAAATATGAAGACTCACCTAAATCCAAAGACACCGGTATTAGCCAAAACATAAGCTAAGCCAAGGATGCCACTTCCCATGATGGCATTCATCAAATTAAACACTGATAAACCAAATGAAACACCTGGGGATCGCTGTCTGTGAAGTTCCTGTAAGCACACAAATTTAGTAGTGTTAAATGTTTGGACGGTGAAGTTAAAATTTCGTAAAGAAATTCCATAAATGAAAGATTATGGAAAAAAGCTGCAAACCACCAGGGTTTGTATGACACACTCGTTGCTTAACCAACACTAATTTCCTTTCCTTTCCTTCCCACCTCCCACTACTGCAGCTCCAGGAATCTAGGGTTTCTTAGGAAAATGATTTCCACCAGTACACAAGACAGGCAGAGTTCAGGAAGGGCCATGACTAACCTTGTGACTGCAAGAGATGAAGATAGGATGGGAATGGAGTGGGGAGAGAGAGGAGGGATAAGGCCTCAGCTCATGTGATTACTAAAGAATTGCTGAGTCAACCTGGGACTGCTGTGGGCAGTTGTTTCTCCTCAATTACTAGGACTGCACAACTAATCTCTACTTATATATCTAATGAATTAGTTCTACCAAACTGGAAGGATGGTCAGGAATATCTTGCAATGACAATATTATAAACAGAAGCAATTCACGTTGTTCTGGCAGTATCCCTGAAAACATCCCCCTCCCCACAAACAGCACCGGGAACAAAGTCCTGGGAACAGTGTCTAGGACTCGAGTTAAAAAGCGGAGTGCCCACTGCACAGGCTTTAGGGTCAGGAACGTGCTATGCACTTACTACCAAGCCACTTCCATTCTACCGCTAAGAATTTCTGTATTAAAATGTTTATTATTTTCCCTCCCCCCATGACTAAGTCGGAAGAGGAAAATCCTGTGACTCTTGCAAAGACCTCACGAGACTGGTGGAGAAAATAAGGTGACAAAAATACTAACTAACAGCAGTGAGTACATAATCCTAGGGCCGCTCATCCCATCATGTTCGCAGCTTCCACTCAACGCTGCATCTCTTCCACCCGACGCTTTTCATCTTTTCTTTCTAGAGTATGCTAGGCTGCTATCACGTTCATAACTGCGCCAATCTCATCTGAATCTCGGCGGCTGCCTTCAGACCCCATCCCCCAGGGTTCAGGCTCCAGCATCTCCCCTGTCCCGGTGCGGTCCTCCTTTTCTGGGTCTTATTTGGCAGGCACTTGAGGGAAGCCGGAGGGCGTCAGCGCGGGGAAGCGAACACAGCCCACTTACGTTGCTTAGCAACGGACTCAACTCTTCGGCCTCCGCTTCTTCAGGCTGCTGGACAGAGACATACCAGCCCCGCTCAGCGTTGAAGCTCCCCCAGGACGCCTCCATGCTGCTCTCCAGCTGACTACCAGTTCCATCTACGAGCCTCTACCCCTGCCCTGCGCTCCAGTCGTCGGTCGCGCCAGAGGCGGAGCTTTGAGCCCGGCCCTTCCGGCATTCCGTACTTCACCAGGGCCTGGAAGGAGAGGAGCGAGTCGACTTGATCTGATGACGCGCGCCCTCTTCGCGGCGAACAGTGATGATGTCATAGAAGACCCGCCCATCCACCCGCGACCCACATCCGATCGGTACCGGAGCGGGAGGTGAGGGGTCGGCTCGCGGATCCAGCTGCAGAGCGACGTGGGGAATTGGAATGGTGCTTTGGTGAGGTGGCGGCCGCGTTAGGGGCTAATGGTCCAGGGGAGGTACCAGCCCGCCCAGGGCTGCTCTCTGCCATGTGCTGCCTGGGCACAGAAACATCGCGAGGTCACCCACCCGCCTAGGTGCTGAGCTTAGTTTCGAGGTTCTGGATAGTAAGGAATGTTTCAAAAGCCTTTCGCCACATTTTACTGGTGGGAAAACCGAGACTTATAGTAATTTATCCAGGGTCACCCAGCTGGTCAGCTGCTAGAACCAATTTGATCTCTGACGGTGAAGTTAGACTTCGTTGCTTTACAGGATTCTGGGACAGGGCCCTTTCCCCTTACAAGTAAATTCTTTGGTATTTTAGAAGACAGTGAATAACTGATACTATGCATATAACAATCAGCAAAGCTCTCGTCCTCAAAATACAGAAGCCTCTAGTTAAAGGCAGGACATGTGGCAGTAAAGCATCGAAAACAAACAACAGAGCAATATATTAAGAACACAAGCACCGAAGTCAGTCAAAACTAGGTTTTAATCCATGTTTAGCCACTTATCAGCTGGGAGACTTTGGGTGGGTTACCTTACGTCTGAGCTTTAGTTTACTTATTTACAAAATGAGGGTGCAATACTGCACACCTCCCAAGATTCATAATGTACATAAAGCATTTAGCGCAGTATCTGACACAATAAGCACCCATGAGACTATCCTAATAAATATCACCACTAGTAATGGTCATGTATAATGACTATTTCATTTACAGATGACCATTTAACTCATACTTCAGTCTTCCAATCCCAAATGTATTATCTAGAAAATTGTGGGTGAAGAGGATCATTGAGTATGGCTAATGGATCACTAAGCCCTCTGAACTGGGAGCAGATGGGTTGAAGGTGTAAATTTAATATATACCACTATTATCTACCACTAATACGACTTCCTGAAGAAGTCATCCTAGTCTGGAAAAGATAGTATACTTCCCACACATCACTAAACGTTTTATTTGTCAGCATTTAGCCCGTTATTTGAGATAGTAGAATTTAGATTTTTATTCTCAAAAGCTGTCGTGTGTGAATTTTTTTTTTTTTTTTTTAAGGATCTTATGGAGGCCATTTGGATTCTCAGGAAGATTTCTGAAACTGGAAAGCCATAGCATAACTGAATCAAAATCGTTGATTCCAGTAGCTTGGACATCCCTGACACAGATGCTTTTGGAAGCACCTGGTATTTTCTTATTGGGTCAAAGAAAAAGATTCTCAACCATGCCAGAAACAGAAACACATGAGAGAGAGACTGAATTGTTTTCACCACCTTCTGATGTCCGAGGCATGACAAAACTTGATAGAACAGCTTTTAAAAAGACAGTCAACATTCCAGTGCTTAAAGTGAGGAAAGAAATAGTCAGTAAATTGATGCGATCCCTAAAAAGGGCAGCATTGCAGCGCCCAGGCATAAGACGTGTGATTGAAGATCCGGAAGATAAAGAAAGTAGACTAATCATGTTGGATCCCTATAAAATATTTACTCATGATTCCTTTGAGAAAGCAGAACTCAGTGTTTTAGAGCAGCTTAATGTCAGTCCACAGATCTCTAAATACAATTTGGAACTAACATATGAACACTTTAAGTCAGAAGAAATCTTGAGAGCTGTGCTTCCTGAAGGTCAAGATGTAACTTCAGGGTTTAGCAGGATTGGACATATTGCACACCTAAACCTTCGAGATCATCAGCTGCCTTTCAAACATTTAATTGGTACGTGTGTCATAGTAATATTCATGTATTTGAAGGGAATTTGCAAATTGTTAATTTTAGCTTTAAAAATTATTTTTTTTAATGCCAAGTTACAGAGGCAGAACATTTTATCATGTTAACTTTAAGCTAGATCTTGAGCTACATACCCTCTTTTGAGGGCCATTTTGAAATATCTTCTTTAGTCATAGCAAGTTCCAAATACTGGTCCAGGCTTTTGTGTACAACAATACATCAGTGTAGATTAAACTTGAATCACATGCTTTGGCAGCTACATTGAGGAGAGATCTTTTTGGTACACAAGACTTGTTAGGCCTTCAGGGCTATGTTAAATACTAGGTTTCATAAATTTGGGTACTTTATAGTCAAAAGTGCAAGATGTTTACTTATGCTTTCATTGATTCAACCAATTGAGCCTCTTCTATATGTCAAGCACCATACTGTCCTGTTACACATTTCTTTTGTTTTTATTGATGAAGGGAGTAATAATGGATAGTGGTAACATAAATACTTAAGCAGATCCTTGTAATTGTGACTGGGTACAAATGTCAAGTCTAGGCTTTCCTGTGAGTCACTGCCTACCCTAACTCAAACATTCCTCTGGCATTCCTATTTTATAAACTTTCTTTCATAGAGGCACTCATACATTAAAAGTGAAACATTTTCATACAGTAGTAATTTTAAAGCTTTTACTATAGACCTTCAGAATAGTTTTTAAAAATTTATAAATTTCATTCCTCATTTCAAACTAAATTCTGTACCTTAAAAGTTGAGTTCAGATACATGAAGCAGAAAGGGTAAGAACAATGATTAATTCGTTTATTGATACTATATTAAAAAACAAGTATCTGATTATCAGAAATGGGACAAATGCTGGTTGTATTTCAGGATATTGTATAATTGGGTACTGTGTGCTGATTTACAAATCAAGTTATGCAATGAGATAGCATATAGATTTTTATAACTTTTTTAAAGTGCTAACTAAAAAAATAGATTCATCAAATGGCCATGAGTATGCCAGTTCTGTAGCTTTTTTTGCTCTGAAGTAAATGAACATTTAATTTAGATAGGACTGTAAATAATCTATGTTTCTTTTTTTTTGGAAACATTGTTTTGCTGGCATATATTTCTAAAGTGGGGGCATTTGTTCCAAAGCCATAGTAAAACAGACATTTGGCTTGAGGCCAGTGGAACCGGCAGATGTTTTACTGTTTTCTGAGGCCATTTGTTGCCAGGGTCCTTTACATCTCTTTCCATTCTTTCCCAATTCCTTGTGATCTACCTTTTTGGTTCCTTGTTTATTGGTTCATTTGAAAAGATTTAGTAAAACATGGAAAAAACATTAGGTAGACCCAAACTCCTCAAAACGTTTTCTTTAAAAATGTACCCAACATTTTGTGTGTGCATATTAGCAACCGTCAGACATTAACTTTAGTCATCTGTTGAATTTTTTAAATTGCATGCCACATTACACACAGTAGGTGCAGTCTTTATCAACCAAAAGAAATACAACTCATTTCTGTTTCATATTAACAATGTTAGCTTTTATTTTGCAACCAATAGGCAGTATTATGGATTTTCATTTTTTCTTTTAGGCCAGGTTATGATTGACAAAAATCCAGGAATCACCTCAGCAGTAAATAAAATAAATAATATTGACAATATGTACCGAAATTTCCAAATGGAAGTGCTATCTGGAGAGCAGAACATGATGACAAAGGTATATTTTATTATCTCCAAGTAAGGTGTATATCAATATTATGTTTAGAGTCAGAATAGATGACAAAGATTTAAAATACTTGTAACATCCAGTGTTGGTGAGTATGTGAGAATGTGATCACTTATGTATGCTATTGATGGAATAACACTGATAAAGCCTTTTCAGAAGAATTGGTTAAATTCTCATATAGTGATACAATGGAATATTTCCATCATTAAAGGTTTTTTAGCTCCATATTTGTTAAAATAAGTTGTCCATCGATAGGTTGACAATGGACAATTGCCAGAAAGCAATATAAGTGACAAAAAGCAAGTTATAGAACAGTATGTATAAAATAGTTCTCGAGATATATTTAAACCTTCTAGGTTATACCCAGAAAGACTTTTAGTTGGCAGAAATTTGCAGAAACATTTCCACCTCTGTAACCTTAATAATTTGGCCGGAAGCATCTGATATGGTTGGGAGAAGGAAAAAAAATATACATACAAATTGGGAATTAAGGTCCTGGAAAGCAGAAGATGGAAGATGTATCTATCTATGAGATTTATAGAACTTATGAACTTTCTGGCCTTTGATTCTTCATGCATAAATTAATGAGTTTAAGATGATGGCTGAGGTCATACTTCATGACTGTAACTTAAGTTTTATTTTCTGTTTTTTAAGGTGTCTACTACAATAGACCCAAAAGAAACGTTAAAAAGTCTTTTGTTCAAGAATTAGCTTCACTGTATATATTTAGTTTACCCATGAAAACTCAAATTTGGGAAAGAGAATCTGGGAATGATTCATTCTATACACTGGCTCTAATTTATAGACATCAAATTTGCAAAGTTCAAGTAGCTGTCGAAAAACATAGTAAAATACCTCAAAATTGAGTGACACATCTACCATGGCTCCCTTTTACAAACACAAAACTAAATAAGGAGGGAAGCTTGTTTGCTGCATAGAAGTACTGTCTGCAACTTGGCTACCCAGCATGAAGATATGGGTGGTGTGTTGTTTCAAAATTGTAGGTCTTGCCTTGTCTATCTGGTGACATAAGAGTATAATTAAGCCAGTTAATTGGCCTGTCTGAAAAATTCCTCATGTGATATGGTAACTACTTTATGGCCATGGCCCTATAGGATTGAGATGGAGAGCCATTTGGCTTTAAAGAGATGACTTTTTCTCACGAATAAGTCTAATGCAGTATATTAACTGGCCTTAGGAATAGCATAAACACCAGGAGTCTAATTAAAATGCCTTTAAATGCACTGTTGTTTGGCTCTTACAGTAGTAAACTTAAATGTGTATGTGTTTGCCTGTGTGTATACACAACCTATCCAATATCAATGGTTAGGATTTAGGACCAAGGAAATTAACCAAAAAGCATAACACCTTTTTTCAGGTTCGAGAAAACAACTACACCTATGAATTTGATTTTTCAAAAGTCTATTGGAATCCTCGTCTGTCTACAGAACACAGCCGTATCACAGAACTTCTCAAACCTGGGGATGTCCTATTTGATGTTTTTGCTGGGGTTGGGCCCTTTGCCATTCCAGTAGCAAAGAAAAACTGCACTGTATTTGCCAATGATCTCAATCCTGAATCTCATAAATGGCTGTTGTACAACTGTAAATTAAATAAAGTGGACCAAAAGGTGAAAGTCTTCAACTTGGATGGGAAAGACTTCCTCCAAGGACCAGTCAAAGAAGAGTTAATGCAGCTGCTGGGTCTGTCAAAAGAAAGAAAACCCTCTGTGCACGTTGTCATGAACTTGCCAGCAAAAGCTATAGAGTTTCTTAGTGCTTTCAAGTGGCTTTTAGATGGGCAGCCATGCAGCAGTGAGTTCCTTCCCATAGTGCATTGTTATAGCTTTTCCAAAGATGCTAACCCTGCTGAGGATGTTCGGCAAAGGGCTGGAGCTGTGTTAGGCATTTCTCTGGAGGCATGCAGTTCAGTTCACCTGGTAAGAAATGTGGCCCCAAACAAGGAAATGCTGTGCATCACGTTTCAGATTCCTGCCTCTGTCCTCTACAAGAACCAGACCAGAAATCCAGGTGAGCAGTTTCTGGGAAATTAAATGTAAACCTTGCCATTCAATTGTAACTAATTCCTCCCAGTTTTACAAATTTTAATGCAGTATTAGTTCAGTCTAATAGAAAGCTACTGTGTTAGTTCAGTCTAATAGAAGGCTATTTCATTAAAATAGTAAATCTGCAAGAATGTTATTTCATGTTTAAGTTGACTAGATTAAAAATGCCTATATTGTTTGTTTTTTTAAGAGTATTTTCAACTGTTAATATCTTACCTAAAATAGGTTTTCTGGATTTATTACAGAGAATCATGAAGATCCACCTCTTAAAAGGCAGAGGACGGCTGAAGCCTTTTCAGACGAAAAAACACAAATTGTTTCAAACACTTAATTGGAAATGTTTTCTCCATCTCCCTACCAGACTTACATGTAGTGAAATAGAATTTGTATTATTTAATAAAATTTTAGGGTTTGGTTTTTACTATTGAACCCTTGTACTTTGCCTTATTTTACAAATTGAGGATTACCAATTAAACTTTAACTGAACTAAGGCTACCAAATACATTCCCTGTTATCTAAATTATAACATACAATTATTTTATAACAAAATATATCTAATTTTTATTGGATAAATATGAATAAATATTTTCTCTCAGGGAAAATAATTTTTGAAAGTAGGGTGATTGAGTACTAACTAGGAAGGTATTAACACCACTTTGTAGTTGTCCTTTACGTAACTACTCCTTTACTGCCAATTAACTATCACCATAAAAGTAATAAAAAATGAAATTATTTAGAACGGGGCAGGCAAACTACATCCTGCAGGCCAAATCTGTCCCACCACCTGTTTTCATATGGCCTGTGGCCTAATAATGTTCTTACGTTTTCCATTGGTTGAAAAATAATCAAAAGAACATTTTGTGACGTGAAAATTTTATGACATCTATTATGTATCAGTTTTAAAAATTAGAATTGTATGAAATTAAGAGTTTCAGAGTTCATAAAGTTTGATTGGAACATACCATGCTCATTTGTTTACATATCATCTGCAGCTGTTTTTTGTTTTTAATATGGAACGCTTCACGAATTTGCATGTCATCCTTGCGCAGGGACCATTCTGATCTTCTCTGTACCATTCCAGTTTTTTAGTATATGTGCTGCTGAAGTGAGGACTGCAGCTGCTTTCTTGAACAATAGCAGAGTTGAGTGGTTGCAACACACACTGAATGTGACTGTCATCACTTCACACTGCTGTTTGACACATCACAAATCACTGATGTGGTTGTAACGACAGCATTTTGAGTGCCATGTATATCACATGAACCCACATTTTATTTTTTATTACCAGAGCATATCTATTATAGCAAAACAAGAAAAGTGGACTTTGTTGTTATTTTTAAAGTACAGTAGGGTGTGAATTATTTTGATGTTGAATTAGACGACAAAGCATCTATATAGCTAAGCTAAAAGAATAACCATTGACATTACCAGACAAACCACTCATCACAGTATTCCCAACTCACAGGCAAGCAACTGTTAGAAAAATTAGAAAATTTAAAATGGAAATAACAAAGCAGAATTTCTTCACAAAATGAAAATGAGGCTGCAACAACAGTAAGTCTCTAAGTCAATCATTTGTTAGCCAAGCAAAGCCATTTATTGATGGTGTGAATTAATTATGTTTGGATGCAGCAGCTGAATATATCCAGAGAAAATAAACTTAAGATTACTGGCCTTTGGCAAGAACAGTTGCTTAAAGAGTTAAGGACATTGAAAGCGACATAAATAGTCACTTTAAAAAGGAAATGATTCTGGATGGTTCTTTGACTCTATTTTTATTTTTACTTAGAGACAGGGTCTTGCTCTGTTGCCCAGGCTGGAGTGTAGAGACACAGTTACACCTCAATGTAACCTTGAACTCCTAGGCTTGAGATCTTCCCATCTCGGCTTCCCAATGTGTGAAGGTTACAGGTGTGAGCCCTTATATGTGGCCCTCGTGAATGGTTTAGCACTATCCCCTTGGTGGTGTCCTTAAGATAATGAGTTATGAGATCTTGTTGTTTCAAAGTATGTGGCACTCGCCCCCCACACTCTCTTGCTCCTGCCTTCGCCATGTGAAGTGCCTTCTCCTATTTTGCCTTCTACCATGAGTAAAAGCTTCCTGAGGCTTCCCCAGAAGCAGATGCCAGTGCTATGCTTCCTATAGCCTGGAGAACTGTGAGCCAATTATACCTCTTTTCTTATAAATTACCCAGTATCAAGTATTTCTTTATAGCAATGCAAGAATGGCCTAAAACACAAGGCAAAACAACTTTGATATGGTACAGTCATTTTGACAATCGATATTTGAATCACAATATTTGATGACAATATCCTTACACATTTGTCATACTATCAAAGAGAAAGAAACAAGATTTCCATTCCCACAAATTTTAGTGAGTATATTTTCTGAGTTCAGCATTTTTAGGGACCTAGGTGCAAGTGCAAAGGAAATTTCCCTGTTTCAAAATCTATTTAACTGCAATTGAGGTGATTCAACCTAATTTTCAGTAAGAAGTGATTAAAATAATGACATGCTAAAAGGCAAATTTCAAGGGAAGAAATGTAAAAGAATTTTACAAATGCTTTCCAAGTGATGAATATGCTCAGTTAATTTCATATGCTCCTGGATTGATAGCAGTATTTGGCAATACCTATCTGTATGAGAAGACATTTTTAAAGATGAAATGTGTAAAATCTTATTACCATTAGTATTAATGGTTAATGATGGTTAATGATAACCATTAATAGGCAATCATTTACAACTGATTTTGATCACAGGGAACACTTACTTAGAACCCTGATTAGAGGCAATGTTATTCTCACCAAAAAAGGCATTACAAAAAATTGGGCTATATTTTGAATTTTGTCAATTAAAAAAGCGTGGGAGCAGTGTGAAGGAGAAGAGGCAAGAACGACCCCTGGACCGACCAAAGCCCGCGCGCTGCTGCGTCCCACACCCGGTGCCCACATCCCGCCGCCGCCGCCGCCGCCATGCCCAAGAGAAAGACTGAAGGGGATGCTAAAGGAGATAAAGCCAAGGTGAAGGATGAATCACAGAGAAGATCTGCGAGGTTGTCTGCTAAACCTGCTCCTCCAAAGCCAGAGCCCAAGCCTAAAAAGGCCCCTGCAAAGAAGGGAGAGAAGGTACCCAAAGGGAAAAAGAGAAAAGCTGATGCTGGCAAGGAGCGGGAAGGTGCTGGAGATCCCAAGTGAAGTGTGTGCATTTTTTATAACTGTACTTCTGGTGACTGTACAGTTTGAAATATTCTTTATCAAGTTTTATAAAAATGCAGAATTTTGTTTTACTTTTTTTAAGCTATGTTGTTAGCACACAGAACACTTCATTGTTGTTTTTGGGGGAAGGGGTATGTGTCACTAATAGAATATCTCTGAAGCTGGATTGATACGGGGAAAACATCTTTCCCTTCTAGTTTTGAGAGACTTCCTCTTGGCTCCCAGGAGGAGGGATTTCCTGACTTTGACACACATGGCCACCTTGGCACAAAAGCCTTGTGGTATGGAAAAACAAATTCGTTTTTATGTCTTCTTTTCCCTTTCCATCTTTCAGCATAGACTTAATCCCCTTAAGCCCAGACATCTGTTGGGACCTGACCCCCGGTCATTGGTTACCAGTGTGTCTGGCAATCTGGACTTTCCAGTGATGCCACTGAGATGGCACCTGTCAAAAGAGCAGTGGTTCCATTTCTAGATTATGGATCTTCGGATAAATTCTGCCATTTTCATTTCACTTCCTGAAAGTCAGGGTTGGCTTGTGAAAAGTTGTTAAACAACATGCTAAATGTGAAATGTTAACCCTCTAAACTTTCCCTGTTCAGAGCATCAGATGAGGACTTCATTGGGTTTTATAGCGGCTGATTTTTGGTAGTCCATTGAAGAAGAGAGTTTGAAAGTTGTATACTGTTAATGACTGTCTGCCCATGTCCTGCCTGAAATACCATGATTGTTTATGGAAAGTATCTTTAATAAAGCTGGATACAGTTTGAAAGAAAAAAAAAAGTGTGGCAATTTGTTTTAGCTTGTTCTGTAAGTACCTACATAATATCCACGATTTTGCTTGTTACCCTGCAAAGCCTAAAATATTTACTATCTGGCCCTACAGAAAATGTTTAAGAACCCTAATCTAGATCATTAATTACAAATTCAAATGCCTTCAGAAGTCTGGCAGGTCATGTAAACAAATGAAGGCAATAAATGATAAGCAGTATAGGGATGTAATGAACTGGAACACTCATTCTTACTTAATTCAAATTGTTTTGAAACAGCCCAAGTATTGTACACTGATGTCCTAGGTTATAAAGTATGTGTACAAATGATGTTCTTATTTATACATGTAAAGTGGTAAGACTCTTGTCTCCATTTAGTTACTCTGGACAAAATATGCAATATGTAATTGTAAAGAAAACAGAACTAGATGTATCTATTAACGTTTTAACTTCCCCCTTTCAGAGTGGATAAGTGATTATTCATTATTTAAATCTAGGTCCACCCTAAACTTTCAGATGTGATACCTAGTAAATGAATTCCTGATGAATCTACTAGAAAATGACAGCTAGAAAGCTGGAAAGCTCATTAGATACAATTTTTAATTTTGTTAACTTTTTGACAGGTTTTCTACCACCTTAATTGGATTTTAAAATAATTATCTGACAACCTGTTGAGAGCCTAAAGACAACTTCTAAGAGAAGCATAGTTGAAATATTCATTGAATCAAATTAAGGAATACTAAGTAATCATGTATACTAACTATGATGTAAATGTATTCTGTACCATTAATATCTGCTTAAGAGGGAGTATAGTTATTAGTAAAATCATTTTCTACATCATGAATTTCTCAGAACTTCTCTTAGGACATCAACAAGATCATTTAGTTGATGTCATTTATATCTCATAAAAGATCTAGATACTTGATCTGTAGAACCTCCTGGAAGTCTTATGAAGTTCGACTACCAGGACTAGTTTTAGCACAGCAGTTGTTTGACAGTCATCTCTAGAGCATGGCTTCTGGAGTCTGGCTGCCTGAGTTCAAATCCCAGCTCTGCTATTTTTAAGTTATATGACTGTTGGCAACTTACCTAACCACTGTCTCAGCTTCCTCATCTGTTAAAATGGGGAAAATACTAGTAGAACTGTTTTGAGGATTACGTAATACACAAAGCATGAAGCAGTGCCTGGGACACAGGTAATACAGTAGTTGTTAATTATTACTTCTGTACTCATAAAATACTTGAAGACTTAACTCATGTAGATGAAAGATATGTACAGCCTTTGTCTCTAAGAGTAAATCACTTGGATGGTAGGGGATAAGCACATCAATTTAGAATATTTCTGTTGTTTGGTAAATTCAGTGAATTCACTAAACCTCAGTGAATTGTCACTAAGTTATTTTTCACCATTCCCTTTGATCAAATAAGGTCAGTTAACTTCTAAATTTGGCCTATTGAACAAAGTACAGCAATAGCAACTACAAAATATTTACAAATGTATAAAGGTTTTGGAATTTATTTGCCAAACCAGGTGCATGCAATTTCCACAATAAGGCAGGCTCAAAACAAGCCTTAAAAGCCTTTGATATGTTTTATTAATTAGTTCATTCTTTTTAAAATACATTTATAAAAGGTATGAGAACAAGCAGTAGTGTTTCTTTTCAAAAGACTGGATTCCTTATTTTTGCAATTGGCTGCTGCAAAGCCTTAACTCTACATTCAATGTTCTAACTATTCTTTGAACAGATTTATAGACTGTACTTAAAAACACTAATCCTCAGTTCGGGAATACCTAATAGATACAGGAATAGGATATGCAGTCTGGTAGAATGTAGATGGAACTGGACTTTGAAAAAAAAAACCTGCATTCTAATTCTGGCTTTTTACTAACTTGTGAATATGATCTTTGTCTACTCAATTATTTGATGCCTTGGTTTTCTCATTTAACAAAGATAGAAGTACAATAAAGATGAAGATGTATTGCTAAAATTAATTAATAACTGCTTAGTAAAATAAGATGGAGTTGTTACAGATGGATAGTCCATCCTAATGTAACCACAAGTCTTGTTTCACCTAAGTTTCTACCCATAAAACTAACATCTGTTGTAATAGAGATTTGATAGGAAATCCCTTAATTTCCTTAAGAAACTATATCCCATATCCAATGCTCTATGTAACAGACTCATACAAGGTTGAGATGCTGCAATATCATCCTATTCATATCTAAACTCTTTAAGCAAAACCCTGGTAATAAAAGCCTTTGAAGTTTCAACAAAAAAACTGTATCAGTATACAATTTATACATAGGGAACTGTACTTAAAATGTACCTTCTCCAGTCTCCAAAGGATTCATCATAAAATGAGCTTACATTGGAGGTGAAAGGTATCATTTAAGTATTAAATTTTATTAACTTCTTTGAATGTGTCACTAAAGCAGGTTAATGCTGGGTTTTGTTTTATCCTGAGTGTGGCTCACAGCTGGGAACTATAACACCTTGATCAAGGTTTGCCTCATTTTCCACTGCTTAAAACAGGCATTGAGTCCTTAGTATTGAGGGAATGACATTATCATGGGTCAGGTTTTTCTTGCCATAACTTGGTCAAAGGAAATATATCCACTTGTCTGGACTAGTATTAACAAGACATTAGGAAAAAGGGGAACATTTTATGAGAAGAAATAATAGACTTGGATATTAACAGTAAATGTTGTAATCAAAATGGTATTTAAAATGTGTTCAAGTAAAACACTGTAATAAGAGAAAAACCACAGAACTTAATATAAATTATAGCTTTATTTTTTAAAAAGATTTTATAAGTCTGTCACAACCTCAAACACATATAGGTGAATTATTTATTCCTCTCTTCCATCAGATGAGGCTTATCGTGTCAAATCCTCTGAAAAATATAAGTAAAAATTATTTTTCACAAATATATATCCCCTATATTACTCAACTTAGTTCTGAAATTTTCTCCTTATAAATACTTTAACACAGCTGCTAGTGGAAGGACTGTGTTGTGCAGCTGCACATAGCTATAATTTTATAAGTCTGCTTTACTTTTGCTAGCTCCCTGGTTCAGCTCCAAGGTCCAAATCTTATAAATGGTTAACTGGGCTGCCAGAAAAGCCCACTGAATGCATCCTGTAGTGCTCTGTGACAAGCAAGAGAAGAAGTATAGCCTCCAGCAAGGTCCTGTGGTGAGGCAGCTCTGACATGGTTTAAATACCTAAAACAAAACAAGAAGTGTAGCATTGATATACAAAGCAAATATAAATAGGTAACATTTTAAAAAGCAATAGTAAAACTGATTCAAGTTTTAAAGAGGAATTCCGAGATTGAAATATTCAGACTTTTATTATAAATAGATTATTATCTTTCAAAAGGAAACATACCAACTGTACATGGAGTGCCTAAACTAGTATTAAATTACATAGCAAATTACCACGGGGTCTAAAAACAGTTCTGAAAGAGGTTTCAAAAATAATTCTAAAATATTCACTGCTTCACGATTTTCAGAGCTGATTTGTTTTGTTGGCTGTTTTTTGGACACCTAACTAATGCTCTCCTTCCTGGCATATGCTTAAGAAATACACAGTATCACAATACTATTATAGTACTGATATTTCTACATAAATTTGTTTTAAAGCAAACCCTCAATAGCTAAACAAATGGAAGAGGGGAGAAAACGTATGAGTTACTTCAAAAGTACTTTAATATTCCAAGAATATATTGTCTCATTCCTTGCAGGAAAGGAAACATTAGAAAATTACATGTTGAAGAAATCTCTGAGACTGAGCCTGAGTTCAAAATAATGTCTGAAAAAGTAAATACAGAAAAGTCTCATTGATCTCAACAATATAACAGTACAATTTTTTTCTGCAACCACACAGTTTTTTTAAAGCAATTAAACATTTATATCTTGACAAAAATAGACAAAACAGGCCTAAAAAACATTGGACAATCTAGCCAAAGAAGGGCAACTTAGCATGACTACTAACACTTCTGGAAACAAATAATTCCAGCTTTCTTTTAATGCTTAGTTTAAGAAACTAACTTGTTTCTTCAGGAAGTAAAGGAGCTTCACCCACCTTAGAATTACTGGTATGGCAAATGAATAAATCAGGTACCAGAACATTTTAATAACTTGGAACCTTTTTCACTCATTCATTCAAACTTCCTGTGTGTCAAAATCTTAATGCATGAGCAACTTATAACTTCTAACATAACAAGTCTGTTTTTCATCTGTATCCATGTTTAATAAACCTGTGTAGCTAAAACATATAGAGCAATATAAGAGTCCAGTAGAAAAAATGGGTCAAGGTAGGATGCAGCTAAGTTCCTGGAATTAGCTATAATTTATTCACATTGCCACAAATCAAGGTTTTAACTCAATTATTTGCTTCTCTGCCAAGGGCGAAAGGGGAAAGCGGAAGGAAGAAGAGAATATTTATTGAACAAAAACAAAAACATTTTTGATAGTATTTTATAGCCATAAAACATATCTCAGATATGTTTTATGTAGAATACTAATGTACTATATGTTACTATATATAATTATATACATAAGATACTAATATAGTCAGTGTAATATAAAAATATAAATAGAAAAAGGATGAAATAAAAATATTTAAATAAAAGTTCTGGCTGGGTACAGTGGCTCACACCTGTAACCCAGCACTTTGGAAGGCCAAGGTGGGCGGATCATCTGAAGTCAGAAGTTCAAGACCAGCCTGGCCAATATGGCAAAACCCCATCTCTACTAAAAATACAAAAACTTGGCTGGGCGTGGTGGCACATGCCTGTAATCCCAGCTACCCAGGAGGATGAGGCAGGAGAATCACTTGAACCCAGGAGGTGGAGGTTGCAGTGAGCCGAGATTTCGCCACTGCACTCCAGCCTGGGTGACACAGCGAGACTCCATCTCTAAATAAATTAATGAATGAATGTTTTAATATTTTCTCCATATACTGTATCTTACATATCCTCATGGGACACATCCCACTTTAGAGACTACTATTATTAATTAGTCATTGTTGTCTGGGTGTGGTGGCGCACACCTGTGAGCCCAGCACTCTGGGAAGCCGAGGCAGGTGGATCACCTGAGGACAGGAGTTTCAGACCAGCCTGGCCAACATGGTGAAACCCCGTCTCTACTAAAAATAGAAAAAGTAGCCAGGCACAGTGGCAGGTGCCTGTAATCCAGCTACTTGGGAGGCAAGAGAATCACTTCAGTCCATGAGGCAGAGGTTGCAGTGAGCGGAGATCGCACCACTGCACTCCAGCCTGGGCAACAGAGTGAGACCCTGTTTAAAAAAAAAAAAGAAAAATAGTCGTTGTTAAACTCTTGATAGAACCTTAGGTCGCATAGGATTGAAATAGGGATTCACCACACCTACCCCATGGCCATAAAGTTATCTGCTTATTACTTTCCAAGACACAATAAAGTATCAACTGTTAAGATTCTGATGCATGAGAAATGAAGTAAATGTTAAGTTACCTCAGAAAGGTCTAAAAATTAACCTGGCTTCACAGGGAATTCAATAACTATCATACAAATAATAAGTGAGTAATATTTTTATAGGTAACTTGGAAATGAAATGTTCCATTCCTGATACAAGTTTCCAGCTAATTTTTATCCGCACACCAGATGATAATGTATCACCCTTTCCTTTCCTCAGATCCTCAAAAGAAAAGCATAGTCTTAGCTTCAATAGATGTTCACTTATGGTAAAATTCAAGCACCACAGTAGAATGTTTGTCAACCTTGAAAAGCCAAACATCATAAATGAGAATTGGTTTTCATAGCTGTAATACAAACCACTGTGCAACTAACTGTTTTGATTCATCACATTTTGGTACAGCTTGCTTCTGGGAAAGTTGAGTCATACCATATCTGGCTTGGCAATTTGAGCATAAACTTGCAGTGTGCATACAGCTTTTTATATGTTATCCTGAGAAACCTGAAACAGCTGCACTGCTGGCAGGAAAACAGAGGACCACCAGTAAAATATTCAAAACAGTTGCATCTTTTAATTTATGGCCATGTTTCCATAAAGAGTATATAAAACAGTTCAGCTTTATAGGTAAAATGTTATAAACAGTCATACTCCTTGATGCCATAAATGTGTAAAAAAAGTTTTATCTAAATGATTAGTGCTTGAAAATAGTATTTCTTGAACATAGTCATAATCCAGAGTAATGAGCAAATTTTTAAATTTGACTTATTAATGCTAAGTTGTACAATTCTCACTGCCAAAACCAAGTCAATTAAAATTTCTTTGCATAGCACTGAAGAAAATGCCCTTCCCTTCTAGCAATCATTTACATTAAACATGTCTGTGAGTATGAGTCGTTGAGAGTCCTGCTTATTTACTTTGCTGTTTTTGATCTCTAGGGCTGCACAAAACTGTTACTGTGAAGTATTTCAAACTATTTTCACCACGGCAACCTACATTAATGCCAATAAAAAATAAAACAAAGTTCATTTTTGTTATTCAATTGTGGGCTTTTATTTTTTAAGTATCTTAATGTTCTTAAAACCTTTAATTATTGTAGCATGTCGAAGTATTTTAAAGAATCTGCCACATTGAAACAGCACAATGAAAATTTAGTGTTTTCTGTACTTTTCTACCTTAATCCACATCTGTGTTTTTATTCTTTCATGACCATTACAAGTACATCACTGAACAGGATTCCTGGGGTTTCTGGCAGAAGTCAGTATCATTTCATGTATACCTTTATAAAACAGAATGAGGAAGAAGTCTTAGCCAAATTTACTTCCAAAAGTCAAGCTCAGTTGGGTTTGGGAGCCTGGAGGTAATTGCTCTGACTATTTAGCCAATCCCATGACACTATTCCTGTTTTTCATGGGTTTATTTTAAATATGTGTAAATCGTATAAGCAGAAACCAGGAAAGTAAAAACGAGGTTTGCTTATTTTGGTACCTATACCTTATTTTTACTGAAAGCAGACTAAACTCAAAGACTTAAAAAATCATACCTTTGATTATTTTCTTAATAAGGTCAAAAAAAGTATGTTTTTGAAAGCATGTCTAAGATAATTCTTGTACAAAGGACATCTTATGCCCTAATTTATGCTCTGTCTAAAGCTGCCTTCCTATCCCATCAAAATCCCTTTCAAACAGACCTTGGAGAAGAGGGAGGGAAAAGGAGCAATGGATCCTGAGAAGGGCGTAAGATACGATTAAGCATTAGAAAACCACACTTGAAGGTTTGTTCCTGAACTTTGGTTTCCTACACTGTCATTTTCTTGTGTTATATTTTGCAGCTTTTGCTCCCAAAGAAAGTGGAATAATTTACACTTAGCTTCAGAAAGACTTCAGTTTCTTAGTTCTTTAACATAGGAGTGCTTCTGAGATTACTCTTTTCCTATTTCCCTTCCTTTAAAAGCACTATATTGACCATCTGGCTGAAGTCTTGGACTCAGCTCGTTTTAGTGCTACTTAACAATGCTTTGAGTTCTCAGCTAGGGGCAGAGGGCAGGGCTTGTCACTCAAGACCAAGAGGCAAGCACTCTTCCTGTCCAGTCATAATATGTTTGTGACAATCCTTAAAGCACACTGGCTTGGAATTAATATTGAAATGAAATGTAAAGTTCATATTAGTTTCCTCCACCTCAAATTACCGGGCCCTATGGAGAGTTAAAAACTTGGATTGGTTCAAACTAAGAAAGGTAGTGAACTCTAGAGACTAAGACTTTCTTTTTACAAGGTGGCCCGTTTTTTTAGTCTTCATTTAAAGCCATCATGCATTAAACAGACCATTTCCAAACAGATCTGTGTCCTAGCCCACAAAATTCAAATCTAACTGCCATTAAGAGAGATCAGCCAGCTGATCTCAGCTATCAAGACCCACAGCTCTTGTAGGAAGTTCAGCCAAAGCTATAAAGATTTACATTAACAACCTGAAGCCTACCTCAGTGAGATTTAAAAACAACCAGAGCAACAGTGCGCTCACACAACTATCACTAAAAAGCAAAACCATTCTGAAAACTAGTTAATGGTTAGGTGTCTTAAACTAAGCACAGTACCAGAATAATAGACAAACTGTTTATAGAGTGGTAACCATATATTCTAAGATAAATGAGAAAAGACACTACATGTCAGAAATACTATTCATAATTCTGAGGGCAGCTTGGTTATAAAAATACATGGCCGGCTGGGTGTGGTGGCTCATGCCTGTAATCCCAGCACTTTGGGAGGGCGAGGTGGGCAGATCACGAGGTCAGGAGTTCCAGACCAGCCTGACCAACATGGTGAAAACCCGAATCTACTAAAAATACAAAAATTAGCCGGGCGTGGTGGCACGCACCTGTAATCCCAGCTACTCAGGAGGCTGAGGCAGGAGAATCGCTTGAACCCGGGAGGTGGAGGTCGCAGCGAGCCAAGATCACGCCACTGCACTCCAGCCTGGGCGACAGAGCGAGACTCCATCTTAAAAAAAACAAAAAACAAAAAACATATGGCTTCATGAAGTCCAAACAAAAATGTAACAAACTTCCACAGGCAGTCATATGTTACTCTTACACTTTACCATCTAGCCAGCTAGTGAGAATACAATTTGAATAAACTAATAATAAAACTGAATTCAGATTTACATCAATACACTTGGAAAGAGAGTGAATAGTTATGCCAGACATTTAGACCAATCAAACACCAAAACTCATATTTGGAAATTAAAAGACACATGGTTTCCAAATGAACACAATGCTTTATTATTACTCATATTTAATAACTGAATATAGATTGCTCGGAGAAGACTTTCTGCCTTATAACTGGAGTATAAGTCCAGTTATACTATAACTGTGTAATTTATTGCTATCAAAGAGCACACCAGGTATTTTGGATAGAACAGTTATTACTGACAGTTAATATAATTACATAATGAAAGGATTACTTCCTTGATTTAAGTGTGAACTATAGAACACACAGAAGATATAGCTACTTAAGTATAATATATTCTATGAACAATGTTGTTGGTAGTGCTGATTATCTCAAAGGATAGACCTCTAAGGATAGATTCTGTCTATATACTACATACATTTAAACACAGGAACATCTCAGGAACATGGGCTATGAGATAGATAGAGCCATGAAAAACAGATAATAAACAGTAGCTAATAGGCCAAAAGATATTTGATAAATTTTAAGTATATTCTTCCAAGTCAGATGTTTATTTCCACAAGAGATTAATACAATGTTTGTCTAATTTCAGTATTGCCATTATATGCTTAGATGACATTACACAGAAAAATGGCATAAATATTGTTTTTATTTTTTGATTCTTAAAACATTATGATACTCATTTCTATTAATTTATTCAGAATAATGACTGGAAGAGACAGAGTAAGGCAAAGTTTCATTAAAAAATCTAAAAATAGCAAGTAATATGAGCCTAGATTTTGTGTATCCCAATGAGGAACAAGTGTCACTTCTTGGAAATTCAGTAGATATTATAAAAATAAATGTACTAGCTTCTGAATTTCTTTGGTAATATTCCTTAAAAAACCTAGTGCCTGATTCTGGTTTGTCTAATGTAATTTTTTACTAGAAATTCCATGTTAGTAACAGCTATGTGCCAGAATTTTCATCATATCTTTATAAAGGCAGGATGAGTAATTTATCTCCAAGAGTGAGGGGACAAAAATGCAGAAATTTAGATACATGCAGCTCATTCATTCTCAAAAAAAAAATTACTGAGAGCCTACTATTTGCCAGGTATTGAAGTAGCCCTGATAATAAGACAGAGAACAAAGCCTTCGTGATCTCATTGACCGTATAATCCAGCAGAAAAGAAACATATTAAATAATGAATATTACAAATGAGAAAGTAGGGCTTGATGAATGTGGATAAAAAGAGAAGCCAACATGAATAAGATCAGAACAGGTTTCCCTAAAAAAATGACAGTTAAGCTTAGATCCAAAGAGATAAAATTAGCTAGGAAGGCAAGGGGAGTATAACGGTGATCCAGAGAGAGGGAAGAACATATATGAAGGAGTAAGGAGACACAGTACATATTGAGAATATAGGGGACAGGTGGTTTCAGCTCAGGATGAGGCTAGAGATGTAGGCAGAAAGTACACAAAAGATGGCCTTATAGAAAATGTTTAAAAACTGTGGATTTTATTCAAGGGCACTGGGAAGCCACTGAAAAGTTATTATTAGAAAGCTGATGGCCGGGCGCGGTGGCTCATGCCTGTAATCCCAGCACTTTGGGAGGCCGAGGTGGGCGGATCATCTGAGGTCAGGAGTTCGAGACCTGCCCGACCAACATGGAGAAACCCCATCTCTACTAAAAATACAAAATCAGCTGGACACAGAGGCGCATGCCTGTAATCTCAGCTACTCGGGAGGCTGAGGCAGGAGAATCACTTGAACCCGGGAGGTAGAGGTTGCGGTGAGCTGAGATCGCACCATTGCACTCCAGCCTGGGCAACAAGAGCAACACTCCGTCTCAAAAAAAGAAAAAAAAAGAAAAAAGAAAGTAAAAAGGAAACCTGATAATGTAAATGGTCCACTTTGGCTGCCCAATGGATTAGAGAAAAGCAAGAGTAGATACAGAGAGATTCCTTAGGAGGATGTTTCTCTAGTCCAGGCTTGATGCAATGGTGATTTGAATTAGGGTGGTGGCAGTGAAAATAATGAAAACTACTGGTTTAGAAATATTTCAGTGAGTGAGTGGGTGGATATGGGGGTGGGAATATGAGGGTGGGAAGGAGAAAGCAGTGTCAAGGTCAACTTCCAGGTACCTAGTCACATAATCACATAGATCAGGGAAGATGCCCTCACAGAGAAATAGAAAACTGGAGAAGCAATTAAGGGTGGGAGAGGAAAGAAGGGAAAGATCCCAACTTTGGTTTTGGACTTGAGTCTGAAGTGATTATAGTAGAGACATATGCATGGTGATGAGGAATGGTAGCTGGATATATGGGCCAAGTGAAAAGAAGAGAGTTATGAAATGAAGATACCAATTTGGAGTTACCAGAATTTAGATGGTATTTGAAACCATAAAAATAAATGTTAATATTTAAGAAGAAGGGATAGAACGAGAAAAGAGGAGGGCCTAAGGCAGAGGCCTAGAGAACTACAATGTGTAATGGTCTGACAAAAGAAGCTATTTTGAAGTAAAGGGTAGTAAATGCAGCTATCCCCTGCTATCCCCAATACCTCATAAACTCTCTTCCCCTCCTTTCTAGAGTTGCAAAAAATGTAGACACAAGGGAGGTGTAAGCCACCTGGAAAGGAGGAAAACAATAATAACAGAGACAAGGTAACCTATTTGATTCCCCCACCTAAGGACTCCAAAGGGCATATGCATAGTATTTACAGCAGACGTGTTTCTTATAGCAAAAGAACAACAGAAACAACCAAATGTCCATTGACAAGAGAATGGATAAACTTGTTATTGATACAATGGAATACTATCAGAAGTGAAAATAAATAAGTTACAGCTATGTACATGCATCAATACGACTGACTCTCAGAAACAATGCTTAGCAAAAAAAAAAAAAAAAACATAAAAACCAAGTTACATAAGAATATGAAGAGCATGGTTCCATTCATATTAAATTCTGAACATGCAAAGCTAAACATGGAATATGTAAATATGACAAAGCTATAAAGAAAAGCAAGGAATGATGTCAGAAAGATGGCTAAGTAGGAAAACCCAGCCTTCGTTTTCTTCACAAAGAACAATAATTGGACGCTACCCATGAATGGGAATAACTGGAAGAGCTCAGGAATCTACTTAAGAAACTACAGCAATACACTGGAAGAAAACTCCCATAAGTAATGACACAAAAATTCCATAACCACACAAAAGAAAGAAACAGTTCATTCTGCCTTTATCATCCCATTCCCAAGGCTAGCACTGATCAGCATAGAAAAGGAACTCCCAAGTTTGTAATCACTGGCATGGCAATGGAGAGCAGGATGAAAGAGCAGCTTCCCCAGACTTTCAGGGTACTGCCTGAGAAATCAGCAACCAGCATTAGTTATACCCCACCCAGATTGCTGAAGAGACTGGCATGGGTGGAAACAAAGAAGGATGGGGGCTATCAGTATCAGCCATATAAGCAGAAATCATTATTATCCTTAGTGGCCTGCTCTGCACAGGATTCCAGCAGCCTTCTCTGCTGAGGACCTCAACAGCCCTTGTGGCTACCACAAGAGATTTCACCCCTGAGGATACCACGGTGTTCACTGAGGTGGACCACGGCAGCTTGCTCTGCAGAAGACCCTAACAGGCTTTTGCTGGCTGCTGAGGAATCTAGCAGTCAGCATAGCTACAACAGACCCCCTGCAGGTTTGGCCACTGGGCATCCCACAGTTTTCTGCCTTCCCAATCTCCAGGTGCCTAAGTGGTGACGTGTGCCTGTAGTCCTAACTACTTGGGAGACTGAGGCAGGAGGGTCACTTGAGCCTGGGAGGTTAAGGCTTCAGTGAGTCATAATTATGCCACTGCAGTACAGCCAAAGTAACAGAGTAAGACCTTGTCTCCCAGGCGCAGTGGCTCACGCCTGTAATCCCAGCACTTTGGGAGGCCGAGGCAGGCAGATCACGAGGTCAGGAGATTGAGACCATCCTGGCTAACACAGTGAAACTCCGTCTCTACCAAAAATACAAAAAGAAATTAGCCAGGCGTGGTGGTGGGCGCCTGTAGTCCCAGCTACTCAGGAGGCTGAGGCAGGAGAATGGTGTGAACCCAGGAGGCGGAGCTTGCAGTGAGCCAAGATCGCGCCACTGCACTCCAGCCTGGGTGACAGAGCGAGACTCTGTCTCAAAAAAAAAAAAAAAAAAAAGACCTTGTCTCGAAAGAAGGAAAAAGAAAGAAAGAGAAAGAGAAAGAAATACTGTCAGAAAACTTTCTAAATATGGGGAAAGATATAAACATCAAGGTACATGAAACATAAAGATGTAAAATCAGATTCAACCCAGAGAAGACTTCACCAAGACACATTATAATCAAATTTTCAAAAATCAAAGACAGAGAATTTTTAAAGCAGCAAGAGAGAAGCAGCATATCACATACAAGGGAAGCTAAATAAGACCACTGATGAATTTCTCAGCAAAAATCTTGCAGACCAGGAGTAAGTGGGAAGAGTTTGTGAAAGAAAAAAAAAATGCCAACCAAAAATACTTTATGCAGCAAAGCTATCCTTCACCAATGAGGGACAAAGACTTTTCCAGACAAACAAAACTGAGGGAGTTCATCACTATTAGACTTGTGTTACAAGAAATGCAAAAGGGAGTTCTTCAGACTTTAACAAAAGGCCACTACTTAGAAACATGAAAGTATAGAGTGGGCACGGTGGCTCAAGCCTGTAATCCCAGCACTTTGGGAGGGTGAGGCGGGCAGATCACCTGAGGTCGGAAGTTCGAGACCAGCCTGACCAACATGGAGAAACCTTGTCTGTAGTAAAAATACAAAATTAGCTGGGTGTGGTGGTGCATGCCTGTAATCCCAGCTACTCGGGAGGTTGGGGCAGGAGAATCACTTGAACCTGGGAGGCGGAGGCTGCAGTGAGCTGAGATCGTGCCACTGCACTCTACCCTGGGCAACAAGAGTGAAACGCCATCCCCAAAAAAAAAACATCAAAGTATAAAACTCACTGACAAAGGTAAATATATAGTCAAATTCAGAATACCCTAACACTGTACTGGTAGTGTGTAAATTACTTATAACTCTAATATAAATGTTGAAAGACAAAAGCATTTCCAGAAAAGAACTAGAGCTACAAAAATTTGTTAATGGATATATAATGTAAAAATACATACACTGACACAGAAAACATAAAATATAAGAGAAGAATGATATGGTTCGGCTGTTTCCCTACCCAAATTTTCATCTTGAATTGTAGCTCCCATAATTCCCACCTGTCATGGGAGGGACCTAGTAGGAGGTAAATGAATCACGGGAGCAGATCTTTCCCATGCTGTTCTCATGATAGTGAGTAAGTCTCATGAGATCTGTTGGTTTTATAAAGGGGAGTTCCCCTGCCACATGCTTTCTTGCCTTCTGCCATGTAAGATGTGTTTGCTCCTCATTCGCCTTCAGCCATGATTGTGAGGCCTCCCCAACCATGTGGAACTGAGAGTCAATTAAACCTCTTTCCTTTATAAATTACCCAGTCTCAGGTATATCTTTATTAGCAGGATGAGGACAGACTAATACCGAGAGTAAAAGTAAGTTTTTGTATGTTTTTGTATGACTAGCGTAACTATAAGATGTTTTATGTAACCCTCATGGTAACAAAAATGCAAAAACCTACAGTAGATACACAAAAGATGAAGAGAAAGGAATAGAAGAAACATGCCACTACAGAAAATCATCAAATCACAAAGAAAGACAGCAAGAAAAAAGGGACAAAAGGTCTCCAAAACAACCAAATAACTACAACACCATTAACAAAATAGCAAAAGTAAATCTTTACCTATCAATCATTACTTTAAATGTAAATAGACTAAATTTGCCAATCAAAAGACATAGAGTGGTTGAATGGATAAAAAAAAATAAGACCCAATTATATGCTGCCTGAAAGAGACTCACTTCACATTTAAGGACACACACAGAATGAAAGTGAAGATACTCCATGTAAATGGAAACCAAAAAGAACAGGGACAGGTAAACTTACATCAGACAAAACAGATGTTAAGTCAAACCATCACATGAAACAAAGAAGGTCACTAGATAATGATAAAAGGATCAATTAATCAAGAGGATATAACAAATGTAAATATATGTGAACCGAAGTCAGAGCACCTAAACACATAAAGCAAATATTAACAGATCTAAAGGGAGAAATAGACAGCAATACAATAATAGTTGGGAATTCAACATTTCACTTCGAACAATGGATAGATAATCCAGAAAGAATATCAGTAAAGGAACACTAAGCTGGAATTACACTTCAGACAAAATAAACCTAACAGACGTATACAGAAAATTCCAGCCAACAGCAGCAGAATACACATTCTTCTTGAGTGCAAAGAACATTTTACAAAATAAATCATACGTTAGCCCAGAAACCAAATCTTAACACATTTAGTAAGACTGAAATCATATTGAGTAATTTTTATAACCACAATGATATGAAACTAGAAATCAGTAACAGAAGAAAAACTAGAAAATTCACAAACGTGGAAATTAAACAACACACTCATGAACAATCAATGGTTCAAGAAGAAATCAAAAGGGAAGTTTTGATTCTCAAGAAAAATATCTTAAGAATAATGAAAAAGTAAACATAACACACCAAAATTTATGGTATGTAGCCAAAGCAGTCCTGAGAAATTTATACTAATAAAAGACAATACTTAAAAAGAAAAAAAATCTCAAATAACCTGATATTACACTTTAAAGAACTAGTTAGTGTAAGGAAGCCCAAAGTTACAGTCAGGATGGAAATAAAGATCAGAGTAGAAATAAAATAGAGATTAGACATACAATAGAAAGAAAAAAAATCAATGAAACTAAAAGTTGGTTTTTTTAAAAACATAAAACTCACAAACCTTTAGCTAGATTAACTAAGAAAAAAGAAAGAAGACTCAAATACATAAAATTAGAAATGAAGGAGGAGATATTACAATTGAGGCCACATAGGTATGAAAAAAATCACTAAACAATTATACACCAATAAATTGGAGAACTCAGAAAAAATGGATAAATTCCTAGACACAGACAACCTACCAAGACTGAATTATAAAGCAATAAAAATTGTAAACAAACCAATAGAAAGTAAGGAGATTGAATCTTTTATTTATTTATTTATTTAGAGACAGAGTTTTGTTCTTGTTGCCCAGGTTTGAGTGCAATGGTGCGATCTTGGCTCACTGCAACCTCCGCCTCCTGGGTTCAAGCAATTATCTTGCCTCAGTCTCCCAGTAGCTGGGATTACAGGCACCCACCACCACGCCCAGCTGATTTTTGTATTTTTAGTAGAGATGGGGTTTCACCATGTTGGCCAGGCTGGTCTTCAACTCCTGACCTCAGGTGACTCACCTGTCTCGGCCTCCCAAAGTGCTGGGATTACAGGTGTGAGCCACCACACCTGGCCTGAATCTATAATTTTTTTTTTAATGTCATTAAAGAAAAGCTTAGAACCTGATGGCTTCATTGCTGAATTCTCCTAAATGTTCAAAAAAGAATTAATACCAATCCTTCTTCAAATTTTTCTAAAAACTGAAAAGGAGACAATACTTCCAAGCTTATTTTATGAGGCCTGCATTACCCTAATACAAAAGCCAAACAAGGATATTAAAGAAAAGAACTATTACAGTCTAATATCTATAATGAACACAGATGTAAAAATCTTCAACAAAATATTAGCAAACCAAAATCAACAGCATATTAAAAGAATCAATACACTATGATCAAGTAGGATTTGTCACAGGGATGCAACATATGGAAATCTATGAAAATGATACACCACATTAACATAATGTACAAAAACCATATGATCATCTCAATAAATATAAAAAAAGCATTTAACAAAATTCAACGTCCTTTCATGATAAAAACTATCAACAAATTACATATAGAAGGAATGTACCTCAACACAATAAAGGCCATATATATATAAAATACGATAGCTAACATCACACTAAACTGTTAAAAGTTGAAAGCTTTTCCTTTAAAATTAGGAATAAGCCAAGAATGCCCACTCTTGCCATTTCTGTTCAACATAATACTGGAAGTTATAGCCAGAGCAATTAGGCAAAAGAAGAAATAGGAAAAGTTACATTGTCTCTGTTTGCAGATAACATGATCTTATTTATAGAAAACCCTAACAACTCCACCAAAAAACTGTTGAAACTAATTGATTCAGTAAAGCTTCAGCATGCAAAATCAGCATACAGAAATTAGTAGCACCTCCATACACTAACAAGGAGCTGTCTGAAGAAGAAATCAAGAAAACAATCCCATTTACAATAGCTACCAAAACAAACAAAAACAAAACAAAAAACCCCAACAATTTAAAAACAAATTTAACCAAGGAGGTGAAGATCTATACACTGAAAACTATAAAACTCTGATGAAAGACATTGGAGACAAAAGTAAATGAAAAAATATTCCTTATTCATGGAATGGAAGAATTAACATTGATAAAATGTCCATAAAATCCAAAGTGATCAACAGATTCAATGATTCCATCACTGAATTCTAATCACATTTTTCTATCAAAATTCTTATGACATTTTTCACAGAAATAGAGAAAAGAATCCTAAAATTCATGTGGAATAACAAAAGACCTTGAATAGGCAAATAAAGCTTAAGGAAATGAACAAAGAGGCATGTAAATATCACCTGATCTCAAAGTATACTACAAAGCTAAAGTAATCAAAACAGCCTGGTACTGGCATAAAAACAGTATACACCAATGGAACAGAACAGAGAACCTAGAAAGGGGCTAATATACAAAATATATAAAGAACACAAACAACTCGATAGCAAGAAAACAAATAACCTGATTAAAAAATGGGCAAATGACTGGAATAGACATTTCTCAAAGGAAGACATACAAATGGCCAAAAGGTATGTGAAAAAACTTTAACATCACTAATCACCAGGCAAAACAAATTAAAATCACAATGAGGTATCACCTCACACCTGTTAGGATGGCTACTATGAAAAAGGCAATATATAACAAGGGTTCGCAAGGGTGTGGAGAACAGAGAACCCCTAGTACAGTGTTAATGAGAATGTAAATTGTAAAGCCATCATGGAAAACAGTACGGAAGTTCCTCAAAAAATTAAAAACAGAACTACCATATGCACTCCTTATTAGTGTTTTGAAAGATGAAACATGAAAATTTATGTAAAGCATCTGGTACATTCAATTATGTGTAAGTGTTCTTGTCCACCCTCTATCTTCTATTTGATAATTTCAATACAAAGCATGCTTTCACAAAAGATAGATCTTCCATAGCCCAAATTTCCAAAGCACTTTTACCCTCTGCTAATAGTATGTACCTCTCCTTTCCCAACCCTGTGACCTCCTACGTCTATTCCAACAATAATATTGTTGCTTTCTATCTTTCCCCTTTTACTGTACCTCTATTATGAAGATCAAAGTGGAGATTTCAAAGGATAAGAAGAATCTTGCTTGCTAATCTTTTATCACAGGGTAATAGAGTAACCCAAGGGTGCCAATACCTACACGCTAACAGACATGGGGAAAAATTTACATATATACATACGTATAATACATTTGTATAGATTCAAACATATACATACAGATCTATATTTCACAAATACTATGTATACCCTTATAAGTTTTATTTCAGAAGTGAATTTACTACATTATTTCCACTCTCACTGCCTCTCCTTCCACTTGTTCCTCATATCCTTGTATTTTGACTCTGGTTACCATTAAATGGCCATTTCTTGGACCTCATCCTCCTCAACATTTTCCTCCACCTCTCTAATAGTGATAGCCCCTGGCCGTGAAATGCTTCCAGTTTCTGATTTCCATAATATCAGTCTATGCCCCGGGCCACACTCCTACTACTCTGACATATCATTCCCCACAATTCTCTTTTTCTATTTCCTAATTACTAATTTTCTTCTTGGTTTACCTCCTCTCTTTCCTGATTCTTGATTCTGTCTCTGAAATGTATGGCTTCATTTAATGCTTCTGTTCTACTAAGCCCCACATCTCTTTTGGTCTGTCCTTCTATCTTAATTATAGTCCAATATGTTTATCTGCATGGGTGGCCCTTTGTACCTGGGTATCCCACTGGCACTACAAAGATAATATTTTCATAATCGAACTCACCTTTCTTTACAAACCTAACGCTCTGTCTGTGTCTGACTTTCCTTAATAGTTTCAGCATCCTCACTGGGGTCATCTTGGAATGCTCTTTCTCCTGAATACCAGTGTGAAACCTGTATCATAATCTCTCTATAAACATCTATTTACCTCTCACATCATCTTCATTGCCACTATTGTTACCGTATTTCAGGTCTTTATTACCTCTTTCACAGACTAATGTGAATAGTCTCTTAATTGATCTCCCTATTTACAGTATGTTCTCTCCATTCCAACCTATTCATGGTTACCAAATTAATCTTCTTAGAGCAAAGCTCTGCATGACTCTCACGCAAAAAGACATTCATTGGATTCCTGCTATATGTAGCATGAAGTCCAAATTCCTTAGCCTACCATTCAAGGCCTACTGTACTTGATTCCAACCCACCTTTCCAAACATATTTTCCATTAACCATCTCCATGTACCCTGAACTTAAGCCAAAGTCAACTGTGAGGTTTTCTGTTACCCTCTATTAAAGGAGACAGGTCTCAGTCCTGTTAGAGGTAGGAAGCTGAAACTGGGCTTGCAGCCCTGCATGTAACCTAGATCTACAAAATACTCTTCTGTCTATGAAACAGCTCCTAGGAAAATTTTGCTTACTAGCTTGGGTATAGTCACAAGAAAGCTTGCAACCCATCTGGGGCATGGGTGGAAAAGGAATCACACATAAGGAATGAGACTACCCAAGCCTGCTCCACCCGCAAAAAATTAAGAATAACAACTGGTTCAGACTCAGTGAAGCCAACAGGAATTTGTCAGAAGCAAATATGAATCTCTATAACAGTATGCCTTCACGATCCAAGACCCACAGGAAAACAACTCCCACTAAAAAAAAATTCACAGTAAAATGGAAAAAAAAAATTTAAATGAACCTCACTTATAAAAGAGTCAGAAGACATGACCAATGGCAGGACTGACACATCCACAATCATAGATAATAAACTGAAAGAAATTCTAAAAGAAGTATATTTAATGTCAAAAGAAACCACGAAAGGAATAGCTGCCATACGGCAAGGAAAGGACAATATGAAAAGAATAGGCATTTTCTTTTTTGAAAGAATCAAACAGGAATCTTGGAATAAAAGTTTCAATGGACAGGTTAAGCATTAGATTATCCACAGAAGGACAGAAAATAGTAAACTGAAAGACATATGTGAGGAAAACACAAAATACAGTAGAGCTCTCCCCCGACAAAAAAAGGAAAATGTGAAAAAGAACCACTAAAGGAAATGTTTCAGCAAGAAGCAAATTAAACTCCAATGGGAAAAGCAGGATGTAAGGAGCAAAGATGAGCCAAAAACAATAATAACAATAAGACAAAGTAGCAACAAAAACAGCAAAAAAAAAAAAAAAAAAAAGGGAGGGGAAGCCTGAGTTTAAGCATTCTAAGGTCTTTGTTTTGTTCAGAAGGAGGAAAGATATTAAGTTTAGAATTTTTTGATGTTTGCAAATAATATTTCTTAATTCTGGGTAGCACAATTATTATGTTATTATATTACTCTCTGTGCTTCTCTATGTTTGAAATATTTAACAACTGTTTTAGATTACACCTCTTCTGGATTGTCCAGATAGAATTACTTCTTTCCTCCTCTGAATTCGCAAAGCACTTTATCGCTACCTCTCTTCTACGTACCATGGCTACTTAAAAATGTTATACATTCCCCACTAGATAAGTTTCTTGATAGCAACATAAATATTTATTTGCCATCATTTTAAAAAATCATCCTAACTTCTAATCAGAAAATACAGAATTTTTAAAACTAAATTAGGTTCTGATTAGTTAAGATATAGCTCTAAAGTGCAGCCATGATAATAGCTGGCAAATAAAAATAGGATATGAAAACAATTATCACCACAAATTATGAAGCTTCGTCGAAAGATGAAAGGGGTTTGAATGAAGGGTAAGCTATACATCAGGGGTGTCCAATCTTTTGGCTTCCCTGGGCCACAGTGGAAGAAAAATTGTCTCGGGCCACACATAAAATACACTAACACTAACGATAGCTAATAAGCTAAAAATAAAACAAAACAAAAAGTCATAATGTTTTAAGAAAGTTTACGAATTTGTGTTGGGCTGCATTCAAAGCTGTCCTGGGCTGCATGTGGCCTGCAGGCCATGGGTTGAACAAGCTAGAGTATATATCAGTCACTGGGGTGGACGAGGTTTTCCTGGAAATTAGAAAACGTCTATAATAATAAAAGGGTGATAGGGTATATAGTGGAAAATGACTTTATTTAAAATATAAATACTTGCATTTTCTTAATGAGTATATTTGAAAATTGCTTTGAGATTTAAATTTATCCCATCTCATAAACTGAACTCTTAGTGTGTTAACCAATTTTATACTCAAATATATATACTACAATAGAATACAACTATGAGTGCAAGGAAAAACAAAAAATTCAAACAGGACTAGACACACTCAAAGCTAAATATTTTTTAAGGTATTTATTTTTCCATTCAAAGCAACTTCCCCTCAAAAGCTTTATTTCATACACTAGAATCTGAATCATGTCAACAACTTAGATAAATCTCTAAAGCAAACAATAACAAGCAAAGACAAAGTCAACTGGATAAAATAACTGATGTTTTCTCTTAATTATGGAAAATTCTATTTTCCAGCCAGTAAAAATTGGTTCATAAAATATCTAAGTCAAAGGACTAGTGACTATAGCAGCAAAATCTGAAAAAGTTCCAAGAGTTCTAGTTTAATGTATAACAATTTCAAGTTTTTAAAAAACATTTTTAATACTTAGGCCCACAGAAAACTTGTACTTTCTTCCAAGAGTAAAACCACAATATCACTTTGGAAAAAACATCACTTTAGAAAAAAAAATAATCTATGCCCACTATCAGAAGTAATGTGCTAATGCAATCAATGGTACCAAAAATGAAGCTTTTCTGAAATAGAATGCTTTAATAGATTAGCCAGTTAGTTGGTTAAATATCATTTGGACCAAAAATTTCATGTGTAAAGAAAATATTTTCCTCTTATTTTAAAAATTGTAGCATTATTTTCAGTATTCTGTTTTGCTTCCAGAGTACATTTTTTGGCAATGCCTTGTAACTGTGCACATGCTGGTATAATATTTTAAATAAAAATACATTCTAATGAGTTACATATGACTTTTTTCTAAAATCATAAGTTTTAAAAGTTAAATTTTACAGAACCTGCTTCAGTACATTACAAAAATGCTTTATCGTTAAAAATGTAGACTTCTTATTTCATCACTTTAAAAGGTTAAAAGAAAGAAAAAAGCCCTACTGTTTTCTTGAATTCTACTTTTGAGAGAAAAATTATTTCCACCTGTCATCCTTAGGTTCAAAACAGGCCACACAGTTTTCCTACGCCAAGAACATGCTTTGGAGAGAACCCGCTACAATTAGTCAACAGGAAGTAAAGAAGAGGAAAAAATCCAAAGTTTATTCTTGATATATTTTGTTCCTAATTGGACTCATTTGCAAAAACTAATTTTTTATGGAACAAAAATAATTTTCAAAAAAATATAAAATAAATATCAAGAGGATAAAAGTCCATCCTTCTTTAAAGATATACTTAAAATTAATTCTACATGTGATTATTAAAAATAAATTTTAAATGCTTTGTAAAATAAGTGAGAAGAATCATGGGTAAGGAGATTATAGTAAGAGAAGTAACACAGAATCCTAAAACTGGAAGGAAATTTTGAAATCATCTTATCTTGCTGTTTCTTTAACAGATAATCCTAAAACTGGAAGGAAATTTTGAAATCATCTTATCTTGCTGTTTCTTTAACAGATAAAATGGCTGATACCTAGATATGCTAAAAAATTAATTTTCTTGAAAAGAATTCAACTATTCAATTAACATATCTTGAACACTTACTATGTACCAACTACTATGTTAAGTGCTAGATGAGAAGACAAACAGTCCCTGTTTTCTAGGAGATATAAGTCTAATAGGAAGAAAAACATAAAAATAAACCATTTTTAATGATAAGAGAACTGGTCACCCGGAGAAGTCAGGCGAGTACAGAAAACATAATGAGTAAGTTGATACATGAAAGGAAAATGATAATTTGCCAGGTAGGTAAAGAAGCAAAGAGGGTTTTCTAGAAATGAAAAAACTCTACAATGACTTGAGGCCTGAGAGAATATGATGTATTCTCAGTGTCAAATCCTGAGGGTTCTGTATGCCTCGAATATCTTTTTTTGTTTGTTTAGAGACAGGGTCTTGCTCTGTCACTCAGGCTGGTGTGCAGTGCCACAATCATAGCCTTGAACTCCTTGGGCTCAAGTGATTGTCCCATCTCAGTCTCCTGAGGAGCTGGGACTACAGGCATGCACCACCATGCCCAGCTAATTTTTAAATTTTTTGTAGAGACAGGGTCTCACTTAGTTGCCCGGGGTGTTCTCGAACTCCTGGCCTCAAGAAATTCTCCCGCCTTGGCCTTGGTAAGCGCTGAGATTACAGGCGTGAGTCACCATGCTCAGCCCCTTCAGTATCTTTTAAAACAGACAATGGGGGCTCAAGAAAAATGTCAGCAGGTGAATAATGCGATTGGGCTTGAATTTTAGAAATTTACCTTTGTAGAAAAGATAGATTGGAGAAAGAGAGGGTAAAAAAGGAAGCAAAGAGAAAAGATTATGAGGGCCTCTATGGGGCTACAGCTCTACAGGCCTTAACTGTCCAATTACATGACATAGCAGCAAGAAGAAATCTTTCCACCTGTCATCGCAGGTCTGGAGCCTGGAAGATTTGCTGAGGTAGGAAGTTTCACTAAAACAATAGTTAGAAGTTAACAATGAAGGTAAGTTCCATTTGGAGCATAAAGAACTGAGTGAAGTACTGGTCAGACACAGGTAGAATGACAGAAGTGTCCAGGATCCATTTGGAAATCTGATTTTCAAACTAACTAAAAAATAAATCTAGGCTTGCAATTTTACATAATTTTTATTTTTCAGATAGAGTCTCACTTTGTTGCCGAGGCTGGAGTGCAGTGGCACAATCTGGACTTACTGCAACCTCTGCCTCCCGGGTTCAAGCGATTCTCCTGCCTCAGTCTCCAGAGTAGCCAGGATTATAGGCACGCATCACCATGCCTGGCTAATTTTTGTGTTTTTAGTAGAGAAGGGGTTTCACCATGTTGGCCAGGCTTGTCTCGAACTCCTGACCTCAGAAGATCCACCCGCCTCGGCCTCCCAAAGTGCTGGGATTACAGGTGTGAGCCTGGACAATTTAACATAAATTATTGTACCTTTTAAACTGTTTTCTCAGAGCCCTTGGGTTCTGAGCAAATACCTTTGGAGCACTATGGGGTTAGAATTGGGAGGGAGGTCCAAATTATCAGGGCTCTGGACCTGTCATTCCCACTGTAATGGAGTAGTTCTGCTTTTGACTATTTTATATGTTGGGGTCCTAGGAAGATATTGTTTTTAAAAAAACAGCTGTGTTCCTTTAAAAAGTCTGAAAACGATTTGCTATGTACTGAATTGTGTTACCTCTACCCTTAAAATTCTTCTGTTGAAGCCCCTACTCTCAATGTGATAGTATTTGGAAATGGGGTCTTTGTGAGGCATTCAGGTTTACATGAATTCACGAGGGTGGAGCCTTCATGACTATATTAATGCCCTTACAAGAACAGATACCAGAGAACAAACTTGCTGTCTCTCTGCCACATGAGGACACAGATAGAAGGCCAGGAAGAGAGCCCTCGCCAGCAATCAAATCAGCCAGGACTTCCCAGCCTCCAGAATTATGAGAAATAGACTTCTATTGTTTAAGCCACTGAGTGTGTGGTATTTGGTTATAGCAGTTGAAGTAGACAAATAGACTATTACCATATAGCTTTAGAATCAAACATTTGATGTTAAATCCTACCCCCATAGTACTGGTCTCAGGAAAGGTATGTGGCCTGTTCAGGGTTGTTATAAATTATCAGGAACGATATACAAGAAGTGCCTAAAAAAGAGCCTACCATACACACAGGTACTCAATTAGTGATAGTGAATGAGAACAAAAGGTCAAGGAATGACTTCACACAATAACTTTAGCAGAGGAAGAAGAACTGGCCAAAAGGATTCAGAAGAAATCAGAGGAAGAAAAAAAAAACAAAAACAAAAACAAAAAGGAAGTAGTGTCATAAAGCAAATGAAAGATACAGTTTGAAGAATAAGAGAATGGTTCGATAGAAGGGTAAAATAAGAAAAGGACCGCAAGTTACCCACCAAATTTTGTAATTAGCAAGTCGATTGTGAATCAGCAAAATCAGATTCTAAGTAAAAGCCAAATTCCACTAGGTTTGGTGGATGAATCAGAAATAAGGAAGTAGAGAGAGCAAGTATAAGACTTTTTTCAAAGGTTTTTCATTGAATATGGAAGAAAGAGCAGTAGTCAGAGGAAGATTCAGGGTTGATGAAGCGACTATGTGGTTTTAAGATGGAAATTTGAGTATGTTCATGTTGTAAAGGAAATATTTCAACACAGAGAAGATGATCTCAATCTGAAAGAGGGAGGGAGACCAATTTGATGGTCTAATATCCCTGAGTTGAATCAAAAGTAGGCCATGGAACACAGGTGGTGGGACTGGCCTCAAAAGCAGGACAGGCCTTTCTGCCAATAAGAATGGACAGAAGGAGTTAGCAATGTGTACAAGTATGGACGAGTTTATAGTTAGAGTGTGGCTTTGGAGAGAATGTATTCATACATACGTTTTCTCTGTGTAGCATGTTGAAAAGTTAGTTGCTGAGTATAAAGAGGGGAAAGTGGAGTGGGAGATTTAGGAAACTGATGATGTGGGAAAGCCACTGTGGGATGTGAGAGAAGAAGCCACCGTATCTGTGTGCAAAATGATACCTGAATGGCACCAATCTGTTGTTTATGGGATCTTCTCCAGCTTCTCTCGGCAGAACTAATTTAACAATAATTCATACATGTTTTAAAATTTCTAATTATTATTTGTATTCAAATGTTATATATTGTCACAATATAACGAAAACACTAAAATACTAATGTATTTAATATAATTAAAACAGTAAAAATACTAATGTGTTCATAAGGAAGAAAAGATGTGATTATAAAGGAATTTTAGAAAGTGCCCCCAGTGGCCTAAGCCCTTCTCTCATGTAACAGAGAAAAATGACCAAAGATTTATTCAACTTTGAGACTGGGCCCATATTGTAAAGTGATTCCTATAAGGAATCTATTTGGTATTCAAATTTATTCCAAAGAAAAACAAAGAAAATAGATAGTTAGAATTCCTTTATATAAAGATGCTCTATTTTTTTTTTCTGGCAAAGGGCTCTGGATAGAGATAAAATTACCTGACTCCCCTCTTACATAATAAAAAGATTATCATGACACATTATAGACTCAAAAGATGGATTTAGAAAAAAAACTGAAAGTGCTGCCTGTGTCTCAAAAAAACATTTTGGGACACAATAGGAAGCTATAGGTTTGGAAATATTCTTAACCCCTGAAGTATACCTTGAACAAGAAAGTATACTACTAAGCTTTGAGTGAAAAGCACTTGAGCCTACATGATGATGGTAAGTGGTTCTTAGTAGCTTTGAAACTCTGATTCAGGTCTTCACATTAGCTGCTTAATTGCACTGACTGAATTTTTCATTAGCTGATGAAATATTTTATTAGCTTTGGGAAACTGCTATAATCATATTTACAGTAAGAGTTTTCTAAATATTTATTTCCTTGGAGCAAAGAGTTAACACTTTTTAAGAGCTATGTTTGCATGAAAACTCTTTGAGTCCTCTCATTATTTGTACATCTATGAATAATTCAGACAATAAAATGGAATAAAAATTAAAACCAGAGATAATTTCTCCTAGAAAATTATGAGTTCTAGAAAGTGAAATTAAAGTGCCTCGCTTACCAAAATCTTGACAATTTGAAGTTTTATAAGTTTATAAAATTTTATAATTTAGGCACTTCTTGTATATTGTTCCTGATAATTTATAACAACCCTGAACAGGCCACATACCTTTCCTGAGACCAGTACTATGGGGGTAGGATTTAACATTAAATGTTTGATTCTAAAGCTATATGGTAATAGTCTATTTGTCTACTTCAACTGCTATAACAAAATACCACACACTCAGTGGCTTAAACGATAGAAGTCTATTTCTCATAATTCTGGAGTCTAGGAAGTCCTGGCTGATTTGGTTGCTGGCGAGGGCTCTCTTCCTGGCCTTCTATCTGTGTCCTCACGTGGCAGAGAGACAGCAAGTTTGTTCTCTGGTAGCTGTTCTTATAAGGGCATTAATAGAGTCAGGAAGGCTCCACCCTCATGAATTCATATAAGCCTGAATGCCTCACAAAGGCCCCATTTCCAAATACTATCACTTCCATACAAAAGGACTATAGAAACTTACGATCTCTGATAAGGAAGGGCACCTGGCTGACCCTTTGTCATTTTCTTCAGGGTAAGAGTCAGTTAACTGTCTACTTTCTTAACACTACAAAATAGGAAACATTCTACCTCCTCTACTAGTTAATATATTCTGATTTGCTCACATTCCTGGTCCAAATCACCAGATGTACTAAATCATTAGTTAATTATAGAAATGCCAGGAACAACTGTAAAATAAGCATTTTAATACCCTTGCATAGTTTCTGGAATGACATTGCAGTTCTAGTTAGAAACCTATAATTTGTTCATCCTATATACAAAACTTATATGAATAACACTTAAGAATTCTATGATAATGCAGCTACTTTTAGTCCATGACTAAATCTTGCTTCGGTTATAATTAATCCTGGAAAATTCATTGCTTGAGAAGGCAGGGCTCCATATGGAGTTAACCTTGTTTTAAAACATGCTAACAGTCTCCCTTCCTCTCCATACCTTGCATAAATCTGAAAACTTAAAATGCTACATTCAAAAGATGTATATATTTTAAATTAGGCATGGGTGCCCTAGCAACCAGCAACATGGAGGGCAAAATAATGCATTTATTTGTTTTGGATAATTTTATGTCTCTGGTGGAAATGTTTAGGAATTAAAAAAAAAAAGAGAAACAAATCCTTCCACCTCTCCCCACTCCCTCACTGCCCACTGCCTGAACAGATAATTGACTCTAACGAGATGATATGAAAAACAAAAACAAACAGTTGAAAGATTAGCCAGAAGATGACCCTAATTCTGCTGTTTATAAGCCATATGGCCTGGGGCAAATGACTTTGCTTCAATTTCCCCACCTGTAAAATGAATGCAGCAATAATTATACTTGCCTTGCTTATCTCCTAGAATTGTAGTTAAGAATCAATGAAATGATGCTTTGAAACTGTGAAGTGCTCTGAAATTTTATGAGTGTTCATATTAGCAAAGGCACATTTACTCAGCTAATTTACAATTACTGTTTCCAGTAACAATTTAGAAAGTGACTCAGATCTATAGAAGTTAAATCTGAAAGCTGAATAATTTATTCAGTATGCATCAGAGGAACCACAATTGTTGATTTACAAATACACATGGTTCTCTGGGAGGCGGAGGTTGCAGTGAGCCAAAATTGCGGCACTGCACTACAGCCTGGGTGACAAGAGCAAGACTCCGTCTCAAAAAAAAAAAAAAAAAAGCGCACACACACACACACACACACACACACACACACACACACACACACACTACATGTGGTTCTAATTCAATTAATACAAACTTGTGGAAAGTCAAATGACAAGATAACTAAGAGATTATCAGCCCATTAAAAATACATCTGTAAATTAAGTGAATTATGATTTAGCTCTACTGACAAAAGCACTGCGACAGTGAGGTTAAACTTGATTTTGCAGTAGTAATGAATAATCCCAAAATTTCAGTAGCTTTACCAGAGGCTTATTTCTTGCTTACTTTAACATATGTTAAAGAAGCTTTAATTTTAATTTCTAAAATGCATTGTAGTGGTCATTTCTTATATTGCAAACTTGTATCTACTATTTTTTTATTCATAAAAATGGGCTGATTTTTACAAATTTTCGATTTAATATAAATATCACTGCAAAAGAAGGGCGCTAAATCAGAGGCTCTTAAACAAAGTCAAAGAAAACCTTACTGTTTTAATAACTGTCAACGATTGTCTTAGGCACTGATAGTGGAAAAAACAAATGTCAGTACCGCGAGATTACTATATGAATATCACTATTTTAAATAAGACTAAAAGAGTCCAAATTTACAAAAAAAAAAAAAAATTAAGAGAGAAATAACAATAAGGGCCCCTTTCTTGTGACAGCAAATGGTGATAGGATTTTTGGCACTGTAAGTAAAGCTTACTATCCCCCAGTTAGGGTTTTGCTTCTGGGCACTGCTTGAGGGCAAGATGGAAGAAGTCCAGAATGACAAGTTTTCCTGTGCTAACACTACTGGAATAAGCAGCAGCAGCAACAAATGGTTAAATAAAGATAGATGTGCTTTTTGGCTGAACTCTTTAAGACAGACAACTTAACGGTAATCATTTATATCAGAAAAAACTATTCCATTTAAAAGTATGTTTCCCTAAAAGTATTTTCATCAGCTTAAAATTTTTTTAGTGGAGTGTGGAAAAGAAGATATGAACCAACAATCCCTAACTTTGAATAGAGAAGCAGCTTTCATTTATTGACTTTTTTTTTTTTTTTTTTTTTTTTTTTTTGAGATGGAGCCTCATTCTGTCGCCCAGGCTGGAGTACAGTGGTGCGATCTCGGCTCACTGCAAGTTCCGCCTCCAGGTTTCATGCCATTCTCCTGCCTCAGCCTCCCGAGTAGCTGCAATTACAGGCGCCCGCCATTACGCCCGGCTAATTTTTTGTATTTTTAGTAGAGACGGGGTTTCACCATGTTAGCTGCGATGGTCTCCATCTCCTGACCTCATGATCCGCCCGCCTCAGCCTCCCAAAGTGCTGGGATTACAGGAGTGAGCCACCGCGCCCGGCCATTGACTTTTTTTTTTTTTAAGAAACAGGGTCTAACTCTATTGCTCACACTGGAGTACAGTGGCACAATCTTAGCACCAGCCTTGAACTCCTGGGCTCAAGTGATCCTCCCTCCTCTCCCTCCTGAGTAGCTAGGACTATAGGCGCATACCACCATACCTGGCTAAGTTTTGTTCTTTAAATTTTTGTAGAGATGGGTTCTTGCAATGTTGCCCAAGCTGGTCTTGAATTCCTGTCCTCAAGCAATCCTCCTGTCTTGGTCTCCCAAAAGGCTGAAACTACAGGTGTGAGCCAGTGTGCCGAGCCATCAGAAACTATTTCTTAACAAGGTAAATCTTTAAGGAGAACAAACTTTTGTTTCACCATTCTAGCTATAAGTGTGACTACATTTTAAACTATGTTATTGAAAGCATCCTAGTCAGTAGTATTGACCATAAATTCATTAATACAATTTCCTGAATCACAGGGACTAAGAGATCAAGGGAAAAATGGACTAGCCAGAGAAATATTTCCAGATGAGGAACAAAACAGTAATACAATTAAATGAATTTTTGATCTGTTAAATTCACCATTGTTTATTATTTAAATACCACATAATCACTAAAAACCATAAAAACTAGAAATAACAAAACTTCTATATACTATGAGAATAAACGGAATTTTATTAAATTACCAATACTTAACACAGGCATTTCCCAAAAACTTTTAAAGAATAATTCAAATATTAACACTAGGTGGGAACGTCATACAGTTAACATTATCTAGAGTTTCAAATATTTCAATAGAAACTATATATGACTAAAGTTCAAATCTCACTCTAACTTTTTTTTTAAATTGAGCTTCTCAGGCTATTCTAATTTTGACCCTTCTGATTCTGTAATGTTGAAGAGATTTGTGAGAAGGAATAAGGAAGAACTGAATTTTAAACCCATCCTTTTAGATATCTCATCATAAGTTTATTAAGCCATTGAATTCAGATAAATAAGTAAGAAAGCTTTGAGACAGACGGCCAGGTGCAGTGGCTCACGGCTGTAATTCCAGCACTTTGGGGGACCAAGGCGGGCAGATCATGAGGTCAGAAGATTGAGACCATCCAGGCTAACACAGTGAAACCCCCTCTCTACTAAAAATACAAAAAATTAGCTGGGCGTGGTGACAGGCACCTGTAGTCCCAGCTACTCGGGAGGCTGAGGCAGAAGAATGGCATGAACCTGGGAGGCAGAGCTTGCAGTGAGCCAAGATCGTGCCACTGCACTCTAGCCTGGGCAACAGAGCGAAAATCCGTCTCAAAACAACAACAACAAAAAATAAAGCTTTGAGACAGCCAAATGCCTAGGCAGATAAAAAGGGGTCTCCAGAGCCACTGCAAAAACATGCCAAATTGTAAAGACCATCGAGGCTAGGAAGAAACTGCATCAACTAATGAGCAAAATAACCAGCTAACATCATACTGACAGGATCAAATTCACACATAACAATATTAACCTTAAATGTAAATGGGCTAAATGCTCCAATTAAAAGACACAGACTGGCAAATTGGATAAAGAGTCAAGACCCATCAGTGTGCTGTATTCAGGAAACCCATCTCACGTGCAGAGACACACATAAGCTCAAAATAAAGGGATGGAGGAAGATCTACCAAACAAATGGAAAACAAAAAAAGGCAGGGGTTGCGATCCTAGTCTCTCATAAAACAGACTTTAAACCAACAAAGATCAAGAGAGACAAAGAAGGCCATTACATAATGGTAAAGGGATCAATTCAACAAGAAGAGCTAACTATCCTAAATATATATGCACCCAATACAGGAGCACCCAGATTCATAAAGCACGTCCTTAGAGACCTACAAAGAGACTTAGACTCCCACACAATAAAAATGGGAGACTTTAACACCCCACTCTCAACGTTAGACAGATCAACGAGACAGAAAGTTAACAAGGCTCTCCAGGAACTGAACTCAGCTCTGCACCAAGCAGACCTAATAGACATCTACAGAACTCTCCAACCCAAATCAACAGAATATACATTCTTTTCAGCACCACACCACACCTATTCCAAAATTGACCACATAGTTGGAAGTAAAGCACTCCTCAGTAAATGTAAAAGAGCAGAAATGATAACAAACTGTCTCTCAGACCACAGTGCAATCAAACTAGAATTCAGGATTAAGAAACTCACTGAAAACCACTCAACTACATGGAAACTGAACAACCTGCTCCTGAATGACTACTGGGTACATAACGAAATCAAGGCAGAAATTAAGATGTTCTTTGAAACCAACGAGAACAGAGAGACAACATACCAGAATCTCTGGGACACACTCAAAGCAGTGTGTAGAGGGAACTTTATAGGACTAAATGCCCACAAGAGAAAGGAGGAAAGATCTAAAATTCACATCTTAACATCACAATTAAAAGAACTAGAGAAGCAAGGGACAAACACATTCAAAGCTAGCAGAAGGCAAGAAATAACTAAGTCAGAGCAGAACTGAAGGAGATAGACACACAAAAAACCCTTCAACAAATCAATGAATCCAGGAGCTGGTTTTTTGAAAAGATCAACAAAATTGATAGACCGCTAGCAAGACTAATAAAGAAGAAAAGAGAGAAGAATCAAATAGATGCAATAAAAAATGATAAAGGGGATATCACCACCGATCCCACAGAAATACAAACTACCATCAGAGAATACTATAAACACCTCTATGCAAATAAATCAGAAAATCTAGAAGAAATGGATAAATTCCTTGACACATACACCCTCCCAACACTAAACCAGGAAGAAGTTGAATCTCTGAATAGACCAATAACAGGCTCTGAAATTGAGGCAATAATTAATAGCTTACCAACAAAAAGAAGTCCAGGACCAGAGGGATTCACAGCTGAATTCTACCAGAGGTACAAGGAGGAGCTGGTACCATTCCTTCTGAAACTATTCCAATCAGTAGAAAAAGAGGGAATCCTCCCTAACTCATTGTATGAGGCCAGCATCATCCTGATACCAAAGCCGGGCAGAGACACAACAAAAAAAGAGAATTTTAGACCAATATCCCTGATGAACATTGATACAAAAATTCTCAAAAAAATACTGGCAAACCAAATCCAGCAGCACAGCATATCAAAACACTTATCCACCATGATCAAGTGGGCTTCATTCCTGGGATGCAAGGCTGGTTCAACATACACAAATCAATAATCATAATCCAGCATATTAACAGAACCAACGACAAAAAACACATGATTATCTCAATAGAGGCAGAAAAGGCCTTTGACAAAACTCAACAACACTTCATGCTAAAAACTCTCAATAAATTAGTTATTGATGGGACATATCTCAAAATAATAAGAGCTATCTATGACAAACCCACAGCCAATATCATACTGAATGGACAAAAACTGGAAGCATTCCCTTTGAAAACTGGCACAAGACAGGGATGCCCTCTCTCACCACTCCTATTCAACATAGTGTTGGAAGTTCTGGCCAGGGCAATCAGGCAGGAGAAAGAAATAAAGGGTATTCAATTAGGAAAAGAGGAAGCCAAATTGTCCCTGTTTGCAGATGACATGATTGTATATCTAGAAAATCCCATCGCCTTGGCCCAAAATCTCCTCAAGCTGATAGGCAACTTCAGCAAAGTCTCAGGATACAAAATCAATGTGCAAAAATCACAACCATTCTTCTACACCAATAACAGACAAACAGCCAAATCATGAGTGAACTCCTATTCACAATTGCTTCAAGGAGAATAAAATACCTAGGAATCCAACCTACAAGGGATGTGAAGGACCTCTTCAAGGAGAACTACAAACCACTGCTCAATGAAATAAAAGAGGATACAAACAAATGGAAGAACATTCCATGCTCATGGGTAGGAAGAATCAATATTGTGAAAATGGCCATACTGCCCAAGGTAATTTATAGATTCAATGCCATCCCCATCAAGCTACCAATGACTTTCTTCACAGAATTGGAAAAAACTACTTTAAAGTTCATATGGAACCAAAAAAGAGCCCGCATCGCCAAGTCAATCCTAAGCCAAAAGAACAAAGCTGGAGGCATCATGCTGCCTGACTTCAAACTATATTACAAGGCTACAGTAACCAAAACAGCATGGTACTGGTACCAAAACAGACATATAGACCAATGGAACAGAACAGAGCCCTCAGAAATAATGCCACATATCTACAACCATCTGATCTTTGACAAACCTGACAAAAACAAGAAATGGGGAAAGGATTCCCTATTTAATAACAAATGGTGCTGAGAAAACTGGCTGGCCATATGTAGAAAGCTGAAACTGGATCCCTTCCTTACACCTTATACTAAAATTAATTCAAGATGGATTAAAGACTTAAATGTTAGACCTAAAACCATAAAAACCATAGAAGAAAATCTAGGCAATACCATTCAGGACATAGGCATGGGCAAGGACTTCATGTTTAAAACACCAAAAGCAATGGCAACAAAAGCCAAAATTGACAAACAGGATCTAATTAAACTAAAGAGCTTCTGCACAGCAAAAGAAACTACCATCAGAGTGAACAGGCAACCTACAGAATGGGAGAAAATTTTTGCAACCTACTCTTCTGACAAAGGGCTAATATCCAGAATCTACAATGAACTCAAACAAATTTACAAGAAAAAAACAAAAAACCCCATCAACAAGTGGGTGAAGGATATGAACACACACTTCTCAAAAGAAGACATTTATGCAGCCAAAAAACACATGAAAAAATGCTCAGCATCACTGGCCATCAGAGAAATGCAAATCAAAACCACAATGAGATACCATCTCACACCAGTTAGAATGGTGATCATTAAAAAGTCAGGAAACAACAGGTGCTGGAGAGGATGTGGAGAAATAGGAACACTTTTACACTGTTGGTGGGACTGTAAACTAGTTCAACCACTGTGGAAGTCGGTGTGGCAACTCCTCAGGGATCTAGAACTAGAAATACCATTTGACCCAGCAATCCCATTACTGGGTATATACCCAAAGGATTATAAATCATGCTGCTATAAAGGCACATGCACATGTATGTTTATTGCAGCACTATTCACAATAGCAAAGACTTGGAACCAAGTCAAATGTCCAACAATGATAGACTGGATTAAGAAAATGTGGCACATATACACCATGGAATACTATGCAGCCATAAGAAATAATGAGTTCATGTCCTTTGTAGGGACATGGATGAAGCTGGAAACCATCATTCTCAGCAAACTATCGCAAGGACAAAAAACCAAACACCGCATGTTCTCATAGGTGGGAAATGAACAATGAGAACACACGGACACAGGAAGGGGAACATCACACACGGGGGCCTGTTGTGGGGTGGGGGGAGGGGGGAGGGATAGCATTAGGAGATATACCTAATGTTAAATGATGAGTTAATGAGTGCAGCACACCAACATGACACATGTATACACACGTAACAAACCTGCACGTTGTGCACATGTACCCTAAAACTTAAAGTATAATAAAAAAAATGCACACACACAAAAAAGGGGTCTCCGGAGAATCTCTGAACAGCCCCACAAGTGTTTACATCAGATGCTTTCGTGCAGATGAGGGAACCTGCCCATGACCTTGTCTGAGCATGCCCACATGCGCACTGGGGGAACGGGGTGGAGCCACCAGTAGCAAGGAGGATCCTGGCCTCCTCAGTTCCTGTGTGGTGGCCTGGGATTCAACCTGTGAGGTTGGGGGCCTGTTAGCAGGAGTCCATCTCACTGTGCTGGGTTTTTTGTTTCTTTTTTTCCCTTTTAGCCTAATAATATCCTGTTCTACTCACCTTTCAATGTGTCTGCATGCCTAAATTTCCCTGGTTGCGTGACAAGAGCCCGGTTTTAGCTGAACTAAGGAGCAAAATTCGGCAACAGCTTGATGTTCAATTTCCTTATCTACAGGGAATTTCAAATCCAATACTGCATCTTCAACTATATGTTTGAAAAAAGCAGCATCTGTGAGGGCCCAAATCTATGTATATAGAATCTATTGCTTTCTGATTTCTCCTCCTACCCTGCATCATACTCTTATTCCTGGCATTTCTCCATCACTTGTCATTCTGTGAGCAGAAGCCATAATATATTTTTGAATTTTTCACAATGTCCAAACACATTATGTGCCCATAACACACTCACAGTATTTGTTAAATGAATTTAAAATACTGAAAATAAGAGAAGATACTACTTCTTGAAGACAAGGAATAAAGCAACACATCTGGAAGTAATTTCTAGTTCCTTCAACTAATGGAAAATGAATAAGCAACAGTAAGAATCAAAATGCAACTTTTTATCAATGTCACATCTAAGTACATTCTTGCACTTTATATAAAGTATTTCAATATCAACTATAATGCTAAGAAAGAGAGAAAGAAGAAAGGAAGGAGGGAGGGAGGGAGGGATGGGGGCTAGGTAGGTAGATGAGGGAGGGAGGAAGAAAGAAAAAAAAGAGAGGGGGAGAGAGGTGGGGAAGGTGACAATTGCCTGAAATATGGCCCCTATCTACGTAACACAAATGGTCCTCTTCAAGAGTTTTTTGACTACATATAGTGAAACTAACTGACAGCATCAACAAAAACTTAGGGAAAAGGAAAACACATTTACCTAGATAATCTCTTAGGTTCATTTAAAATTCTTCATTTAAAGCCTCTCTAAAATTAAAGAAGTTAGGCTACTTGTGAAATGTTAAATGGAAAATGAATAATAAACAACCACAAATACAAAGGTACTAAGGTACAGAAAATCTACTTCACTAGAATTCCTTAATTTAGGGAAAGCACCTCTATATTTGTTTACACACTTTGTTTAGAAGGAAACCCTTGATAAACTAGGGAAAGTGAGGCATTCTGCCCCTCCCAAGAGCATTTAAATGTGGGAGAAATTGCCTTCCACAGGCAAGGGAAGTAATTTCTTTATGTTCCAGAAAGAGAGGAAGGAAAAAGACAGAAGAGATGAAATGAGCAATGTGACATATGGTCTGTATTAGTCCATTTTCTTGCTGCTGATAAAGACACACCCAAGACTGGGCAATTTAGAAAAGAAAGAAGTTTAATTGCACTTATAGTTCTACATGGCTGGGGAGGCCTCACAATCATGGTAGGAGGTGAAAGACATGTCTCACATGGCGGCAGACAAGAGAAGACAGCTTGTGCAGGAAAACTCCCTTTTTTAAAACCATCAGATCTCGTGAGACTTATTCACTCTCAGGAGAACAGCATGGAAAAGACCCGCCCCCTTGATTCAATTACCTCCTACTGGGTCCCTCCCACGACACATGGAAATTCGAGATAAGATTTGGGTGCGGACACAGCCAAACCATATCATGGTCATAGTTTACAGTTGGGTGTAAAGGTGCAGATACCAGGATGAAATCAATTTTCAGACCCAGACAAAATAGGGCCAGGAAGGCACCAAGGAAAGGAGGCTCATGCTTACATGTCTGTTTCCAGTGATGTCCTAAAATCCCTGTAAGAAATATGCATCTCCTGCCTTTGACAAGGTTTATCACTGTATATTCTTTAGGACGGCAGTAACTCAGATAAGTTGCTCTTGGAAGAACACTTGCCCAGTAACAGCATCTCTACGAATGAATTGTCAACAACTTGGACTTTGAACTTCTGAAACCAATAAACTCTCTTTCTAAGCAGCTTATGTACATCTCTACCTTTTGGCTAATAAAAGCTTCCCTTTACTCTTCCCTCACTGAATGCACTTGTAGCTTGCCCTTTCATCCATTCCACTTTATAATCCTTATTTCTCATTCCCAAGAAAACTAAACATATTTAGAGATAATTTTCTCTAGTGTCTTTTTTTAGGTTAACATAGGTAATATGATCCCTCCTGGTAACCCTTAAATCTTCCAGACAATGTGCGTAGATTTTCTGGGGAATTCATTTAAGTGAAAAAATTCTATATACAAGGTAACAAAGGGTGGGACAGAGCCTCTCAAAGGAATACCATAGTACGGAATTAGAGCAGGGAGATAAACAAGGAAAACAAACAATTATGGGTAGGACTTCAGACTGTCAATAGCTATGGGATTGTCTAGATCCATGTTTTAGATGTGATTATGCTTTTTACTTAAATAACAAAGGAAGGACATCTCATTTTCTTAAAAACTAAAATTCTTATTAAATAAATAAATGGGATAATTTGTCAATCATGTACTCCCTTATTTTCTTTACATTTTTCCTTAAATTCTTTTTAAGAATTTAACCTGTGACTTTCCCTTGGTGTTAAGAGCACAAATAAAATCACTGGGACAAAACATCTTACCCGCTACTTTGTTTGCTTCAAAACATCAGAAAACCAAGTAGTCTTCCTTAAAGATAAACTGAATTTTTATTTCAATAATTAGGAAATAAATGCTACACTGAACTAAATGCCAAAATTATACGGAAGAACGGCAATACAACAATTTATCATTGTGTCGATATGCCTAATTGATCAAATTAGAAGAAGAAAAAAAGGAGAGAAAGGAAAGGTAGAAAATCTCAATAGACCTAAAATCAGTATAATACAAATAGATTCTAAGGGACCGGACTTTCTATATTATACTTCAATATTCTACCAGTCAGTATTCTAGGCTCTTCCATATATTACCTCATTTAGTACTCAAAACAACCCCATTAGATATCTCCATTTCATAAAGGAGGAAACAAAGACACAGAATGTTAGGTAGGTTACCTGCCTAGGGTTATAAACCAAGCAAAACAGCCAAGATTTGAACTCAGGCAATATAATTCCAAAAATTCTCTCAACTCCTACACTGTACTGCATATTATTATTATTTACAAAGTGATTCATATATCTTCAAAGTTTTGTTTTTAAGATTATGGTTATATTTATCAAATCAAATTTTCTGAAAATGTAACACAGTATACACCAAATTATGATGCAAAAACACTGATATTTAGCTATTCAGAAATAAGTATGATCTCTAACACATAGCTTTAAAAATGATAAATCCTAGAGCACAGGATAAGAAATAGATAACAACTGTATGGTCATCTATTATGTTTAACTATTGGGAATTAATGTCAGTAGTGCAGAATAAAATTCTTACCTGGCATTCAGTATGAGATATATAAATATATAAAAACAGTTAAAAATAGTTTTCTAAAGTGGTAAACTAAAATCTATCTAACATTTAAAGAATAAAGAAAAGAAAAAAACAGAGCTGAAATACCTGCACACTCCACGTAAGACAGTTTCTTGAACTATATTAATCATTATTTAACCATGTCTTTAAAGGAGGGAAAAAACCTCCAAATTTTCTAAAAATGGAAACCTCTTTTAAAAAAATGAAATGAAATGCTGTACTAAGTGGAATTACAGTTCTGGAATGCAAGTGTTAATTATTTTATGATGAACCAACAATGAACACCTATAGCATAATTTAAGGCTGCTGTAGTTTTACAAGGATAGAAGAAAAACTAAATATTATTCTCTAAAAAAGTGATTTTATACTACAAATGAAACAAAAATTTAAGAAATATGAGCGAATTAAAAACTAGTATGTCAGTCTTATTTTAGACTAAACTTACATAAGAAAAAAGATAACAGAACTCTAATGTAACCTAATATATAGGTTTGTACAAGCAAAAATTAAAGACATATACTAGAAAACTTGATAATATAAAATTGATTAAAACTAACATCCTTATAATATGAAGTTTTTATCAGAAAAAATTAGTAAGAGTAAGAAGTATGAATATTCTAGAAATGGCAAATATTTACACACAAACTTAATTCAATGGACAAATAACACACTTAATTCTCAAAATGACTGAATTAAAAAATTTAAAAAGTAGGCTCAGTATCTAAGGGAGTATATAATTAATTCACCATTGTTTTTTTAAAAAAAAACTTTGAGGATGTTTTTAAAATCTTCTACCTTGACAATTAAGCAGCTCTTTTCAGAGTGTCAAAGGTTATAGATATATACACACACACCATATATATACACACATATATATATATGCATTAAAGTAAGTAGTACTATTCTCCCACACTGACTAAATCAAAAATATTAAGGGTCTTACATATTAAATATACAATTCAGGTCTACGATATGTATCTACAGACATATTTTTGAAATAAGAAAAAAGTTAGAGAAATATGAATAAAAAACATTTCAAGTTACACCCAGTGCTGCAATGGGCTTTGTTATCACAGAATCTTTTACAGTCTACCTATTTTGGTCCAGCCCAGCTGCTGTGGCAAGTGGTAGTGGTGAATCAGAAGGAAGCGGCAGCTGCACATACTCTCTGGCAGCAGAATAAATGCAGTCCCTGTCCCCAATTATTTCTCTCCCTGGCCTTTCCCTGACACAGGCAACAAAAGTGAGTAGTGAGAAAGCAAGCCTGAGCAGCTGCCTTAATCATTCAGATCCCTGCTGCAGCTCTCACACAAAGACTTGTGTCTAAGTGGCATATTCTATAGGCTGTGCAAAACTCTGAAGGAAGCCTGAACCCTATGAAAGTCATCACAGAGCCATCCAGACACTCAAGCCAAAAACCTTGGAATTTTCCTAGACTCATTCCTTACCCTGCACCTGAAGTCAGTGGCCAAGTCCTTTCAATTCTATCCCTTCAGTCTCAAATCCATTCCCTCAACTCCATCCTCACTGCTTACAACTCTCTTATTTTGGCACTTTATTTTACTTCAGGCTTCTCAAATACATGATCCATACTGCTGCCTTCAGAAGTATTTTTTCTAAAATATAAATCTGAATATCTCAATTATTTAAACGTCTTCCATAGCTACCTATTACTAAGAGTGTATGGTTCAGAGCCTAGTTACTGAGATAGCAGTGGTTTTCAACCTTGATTTAAGACACACAGGAACAAAAAGGGGGAAAGGAGTATTACTCAAAATACTTAATATGATAAATAAGATTCTTCATGATTTGATCCTAACTAGTTTCTTGTCACTTTATGTTACAAACCCTGTGCTCCAGTCAGACTGAACTACTTACATTTCCCTCAAGGCACCCTGTTCTGTCAAATCTCTGAATCCTTCTGTTCTGACGGAATGTTCTGTTCATGCTACTAGGAGACTCTTACTTATCCTTTAAAATGAAGTTGAATGTCCATATCTCTATGAAATGTTCCTTGACCCTCTCTTCTTATGTCTTGTTTATATGACAATCTCCCTTTTCCAGACTGTCAGCTTTTGAAAGAGGAATTATGGCTAATTGGTCTTCATAATTCTTCCACCCAGCACAATTACATTTAATATACTTCAGAAGGAAGGAGAATCTTGGCACTTGGCAATATCATACTTCTCTCCATTATATCTCTTAAATTCTCTTCAGTTTAAGAAGTCATTTCAGAACATCTGTGCCATCAAGGCATTGTGGGATGAGGTATGAGGGGACAGGGTAGAGTATAGTGAGATGGAGAAACAAAAATGAACAAGAGATGTTCCCAGACTTAGAAAAGCTTATCTAGAGAAGGAAATAGACTCAAATAATAATAATAATAATAATAATAATAATAATAATAATAAAGACGGAAGAAGAATCTTTAGTAATAAAGATCTCGAAGGAGGATATCCTCTTAAGCAAATACTCTGGAATTGACTGATGATAGTGTTTGTAACACAACTAAAACTAAACACTGCCTCAATGACCTCTACTTTTTGACCTGGAAAAGTAATTAAGGAAGCCAGTTTTACTTTACCAAAGCATGTTATATTTTTCTGACCTCTGAATGCAAACAATTTGAGTTTAAAGAGTGAAATAAAATTAAGACCTTTTGGCATTAGAAGGTTAGGTGTTTGTTTGTTTTAGGTTGAAAGAGGGTGGTTCCTGTCAGAATGTTTCATGGCTTGGGAATCAGAGACCCTTCTAGATGTAAAACAGTAATAATAAATACTTATTTCAAAATTTAATTATAAATTGACAGGAAAGATATAAAATGTTTCCTCATAATTTTCTTATTTAAAATTAGAAATTCCTCAGAGTTAACAAACACTTCTGTCTAATGCTCACTATTATTATTACAGATAGGCTCACAGCTAAATGTGTAATTCAGGAAAAGAAAAGGCAATATTCCCCAGGTCAAGAAAACGTTCAGGACTCGATAATCAAAAAGCTTTGCTTATACTAGGAATTACTGGGGATAATAGGCAAAACACATGGTTTTAAAGGGAGTTCAGTGAGGAAAGAATATTCTTTTCAACAAATGGTACTGGGACCATTGGGTATCTCTGTGCAAAAATGATGAACTTGGACCTTTAGCCCACACCACATACAAAAATTAATTTAACATGGATCTGAGGCCCAAATGTAAGAGGTAATATTACAAAACTTTTACAGGAAAACATAAGAGGAAATCTTCTTGGCCTTTGGTTAGGCAAAAGTGTCTTAGATACAACACCAAAAGCATGATCCATAAAAGAAAAAATTGGTAAGCTGAATTTCATCAAAATTCAATGTGTTATACTTCAAGAAACATCATTAAAAAATAAAATAACAAACCACACTCTAGGAAAACATATTTACAAAATATAAATATACATATATATATATATATATATATATTTTTTTTTTTTTTTTTTTTTTTGGGAGATGGAGTCTCACTCTGTCACCCAGGCTGGAGTGCAGTGGCATGATCTCGCCTCACTGCAACCTCTGCCTCCCAGGTTCAAGTGATTCTCCTGCCTCAGCCTTCTGAGTAGCTGGGACTACAGGCACATGCGACCACACTGGCTAATTTTTTGTATTTTTAGTAGAGACGAGCTTTCACCGTGTTAGCCAGGATGGTCTTGATCTCCTGACCTCGTAATCTGTAATCTGCCCACCTAGGCCTCCCAAAATGCTGGGATTACAGGCATGAGCCACTGTGCCCAGCCACAGATTATATTTAATAAAATGCTGATATCCAGAATATATAAAGAATTATAAGATATATATATATGGCAAGTGCTTTGTAAAATGACATTCTTTTTTTAACTATTAATTTTTTTATTTAAAAAATCACATAATCAAAAAATAACTTTTTGTAACTTTATAATAAAACAAATGACCCAACTTTAAAATGAGTAAAAGATCTGAACAGACATCATACCAAAGAAGATATATGGATGGGTAATAAACACATAAAAAGAAGCTCAATATCATTAACCATGAGGGAAAGACAAATTAATGAGATACCAATTTTTACTCGCAACAATGGTTATAATCAAAATGACAATAATAAACATTGCTGAGGATGTGGAAAATGGAAACCCTCATGCCAGTAGGAATGTAAAATGTACAGCCACTTTATAAAACAGTTTGGCAGCTTCTGAAAAGTTAAATACAAATTTGTTACATGATCCAGCATTCATTCCTAAGTATATATCCAAGATATATGAAAACATACATGCAAACAGTATGAATATTTATAGCAGCATTATTAATGGTGTCCAAAAAGTGGCAATAATCAAAAAGTCCATCAACTGATGAATGGATAAGCAAATAGATAACGTGTAGTATATCCATTCAATGGAGTATTATTCAGCAATAAAAAGAAATGAAACATGGATATATATACTACAATATGAACCTCAGAAACATGAAAGAAACCAGACACAAAAACCACATACTTATGATTCCATTTGTATCACATGTCTAGAATAGGCAAGTCTGTGGAGACAAAAAAGAGCTAAGTGGTTGCCCAAGTCTGGTGATGGGAAAGGGGGCTAACTATAAACTAACATGATGGATCTTTTGGGGTTGTCGAAGGTTCTAAAACTGGACTGTAGTCAGGTTTGGTACAAAATAAAATGCAGGCACTTTGTTTAAAAAGCAGGAAAACATTTTTTTCCTTTCTTCTAGGGTCTCTCTCTTGACCTGTTATGGTACTTTATTTGCTATTTAATGCTGTATCCCTCAGTCATGAGATACTCATTGGGTAAATGCAGACCCTCAGAGGCACACAAGGCACATACATCCAGTCCTGACCTTCCCTGTGTCCACAGCCTCACCGTGGGTAGAGGCAGCAACAATGAGCAGAAACAGAAAGAAGGTGGTCGAAAACATGTCTCAAGGTGGGAAGAATACGTGGTTCAAAGCCCCTAGAGCATGTTCAATTGTCCCATCAGACTTTACTTACAAAACGATAAATCTAAACATAAAATTATTAAGAATTCAAGATGACAACCACAGAGTATTAAACTCCAAGTACAGGGCACCCTTGTGAATTCAGGGCTCCTTTCTGGGCATGGGGCCCTGTGAGACTGTACTGGTTACACATACATGAAGTTGGCCCTGATTGTAGTGATGGTTGTACAACTTGGTAAATTTACCAAAAATCACTGAATCATATATTTAAAATGCGTTACCTTTGTGGTATGTAAATTTTACTTCAATAAAGTTTTTAAAAGTAGCTTTAAGTCTTTGGTAGTAGCACACTAAAATTAACGAAATTGGGTAGAGCATCATAGACTCTGCATGTCTACCCTTTGTCTTGAGTCTAAACCTCAAACAGTATCCCAGGCTGAGTGCCTTTTACAGGGCCAAATAAGCAATAGGTCCCAAAGGATGACCTCTGATAAAGGAGATGTATCTCAAGAAGGCCCACATCAAGTCAGAAGATATAGTTTTCCTTTTGAACATGTAAATTAACTTTGAAATAATAAGAACCATACATATTGGTCTTTGCCCACAGTCCCTGGCACAGGGCTAATAAACTTATAGATAGGGTGGCAAGGAGAATCTTTTGTTCTAATATTTGGTCTTTGACTCCATTTCTTGACACAGAGCTCCTAAATGCCTTAGAATTTCCTGGGTAATAGGAGCATCTTTTGTTTGAAGGAAGCAAATCTTATGGGTTCCTGAATGGCCTCAGGATGGGGTTGGTTCACAAGGGGAACCAACCATGCAGTTAGCAGGCTGGAACTTCTAGCCTCACCCTCTGACCTCTAGGGAAGGGAGGAGGCTGAAGGTTGAGTTAATCACCAATGGCCAATGATATAATCAACAGAGCCTACATAATTAAGCCTTCATAAAAATCCAAAATGACAGAGTTGGGATGAGCTTCTGCACAGCTGAACTTGTGGAGATCCGTGGCGGGTGCGTGGCATGTCAGAGGGCATGGAAGCTCTGTGCTCCCCAACTATGCACCTCTTCCATCTGGCTGTTCACGTATATCCTCTGTAATATCCCTTATAATAGTTGGATAAACATAAGTAAAGTGTTTCCCTGAGTTCTGTGAGCCGCCCTAGCAAATTAATCAAAACTGACGAATGGTCTGTGGGAACCCCCAATTTATATCTGGTTTGGTCGGAAGTATAGGTAAGAACCTACTACTGGTGACTGGCATCTGAAGTGGAGGGCAGTCTTATGGGACTGAGCCCTTAACCTGTGGTATATGATACTATCTTCAGATAGACAGTGTCAGAACAGAACTGAATTAGAGGACGCCCAGTTGGTGTCTACTGGACTGGAGAACTGCTTTGGTTGGTGTGTGGGGGGAAAACCCCACAACACCTGTCGTCAGAAGTATTGACTGTGGTGTGTGAGAGTAGGAAGCGCATTTTGTTTTTTTCATATCTCTTTCAACAACTCTTTGTGGGTAGAATAAGGGTGATTTCTGAGGTAATGAGTTTACCTCATAACTGGAGAAGACCTTTTAACTACTAGGGATTTCTAACCAGAGAGTAGGGCCAAATGAACAGTATTGTGATGAAAGTCCACAATCATGACTGAATTTCCATCAAAAGATCTCCTCTTACACTGAGCAATTCTATGTGCTAAAGTGCTTCTGACTGACCTACTCTATGATCCAGAGTTCTATAACATTACTCTGGCATTTCTGTGATAACATAATTTTTCTTGAAAGATCTTATATTCTGCCAAATGTGAACTTAAAAGTTAGAAGTGAAATCGGGGACAGTCCACACAAAATCTACAATATAAATCTCAAAAACATGAAAGAAGCCAGACATGAAAGATAACATAACCAGGGACCCAACAAAAACATTAATTATTCCTCCAAAAAGTATTAACACAGTTGATTTTTTAAAGCTTGGTTAAGTTCCAAATAAACAGATGATACAGTAAATATAGGTTTTATAAGAAACGTAAGAAAAAAGTGAATGTAACCTGATGGAAGGAAGTGTAAGGAAGGGATAAGGTTGCTAAGTTATAAAAACAAGCAAAATGAGCAAAACTTGGGAAGAATTCCACAAGTAGCACTTCCAAGACAGGATGCATGGCAAAACTAAGCCAAAAGGAAGAACATGGTATAACTAGACATCCTGTACAGCACTCTCTTTACTCCTCTGTGGCTTCATGCATCCCATTGTGTTTTTGTTTCCATATACAGTCATCCCTTAGCATCTGTGGGGGATTGCTTCCAGAACCCCACCCCCAGGATACCAAAATCTGCAGATGCTTAAGTCCCTTATATAAAATGGCACTGTATTTCCATATAACCTGTGCATATCTTCTCATATACTTTATTTATTTAATTTATTTTTCACCCCCCTGGACACCAGGGAGCATATACTTGGTTAGTTATAATACCTAATACAACGTATTATAAATGCTATGTAAATAGGTGTTGTCGTGTATTGTTTAGGGAATAATGACAAGAAAAAAGTCTGTACACATTCAATGTAGGCCCAACTATTGTTTTTCTCCCCAAATACTTTCAATTTGCCGTTAGTTGAATCTATGGATGTGGACCCATGAATGGACAGCCAACTGTATCTGAGTTCAGCTGCTATTATTAATTAACAATGTAACATATTTACTTACTGGGAAAAATCATGTGCAAACAAAATAGCTTCTACAATATGGAATCTACATTATACAGATATCATTCCACTATTTACCATTCATGTGTGAGCTAATTCATGTTATAAATATGCGTTCTAGAAATAGGCAATGCAACAGGACAGACTGAATTTGATCTAGTACCTACTTTTAATATGTTTCCAAGTTGTCAGCTTTTGCCCTCACTCACCCATTCCCTGCCTTGCTTTACCCAACATCCCCAATGTTGGACACCTTTCAGTGACCTCATCTGTGGAGCTGTCTTTCAGAGTAGTTTTCTCTGTATGGGTTTAGTATTTTATTTTGAGAGTCAGGGAGGGTGATGTTATTTGTGTAGCTAGTTTTACAGTACAGAAGAAAGATTTCACATACATATTATTGTTTCTCCATTTTAAAAGTAGATGAATAAATATTTCATTTCTCTTTTTCAAATTAAAAACCACTGTCTCAATTTATTTTTTCTTATTATAGCTCTAAATAGAAAAAAAAATGCTTCCCCACCTTAATCTATATCACAGTTTTGCTATTTTCAAGGCATGGAGTACAGTTTTTTTTTTTTTTTTTTTAAACAGGCACTGAATTTGAAAAGCTCTTTAATACTAGCACAAACTTAGTAATATAAATTCTGGGGTGAATTATAAACTTTACATGTATGTGACATATCAATAAACTGTATTGCAAATATCCCCCAAAGCAAACAAACAAACAAAAAACAGGCTATTATTACTCTCTACCAGTTTCATTACAGTTACAAAGACTGCCATAAATGTTTTTTATTTACAAACATCTACTGGTCTCAGAAGTTTTCATCACTAAAAAAATTAGACTATTTGAAACAGAGGTAAAATGCTTGTTTTCTGAAACAAACTTTTTGTTTTACTTTTTAAACTTCTTCTGCCTCCTTTAAAGTGGCAGTCATAATATTCATTAGTGTTCAAGTGCCAGGGATGTTAAGTCACTTACACCTCAAATGGGCCTTATAAATATATCTACTGTTTTTATCTTGTTTTGTTTTGTTTTAAGACAGTCTCGCTCTGTCATCCAGGTTGGAGTGCAGTCCTGGGTTCTCAGCCTGCAGAGTAGCTGGGATTACAGATGCACACCACCACACCTGGCTAATTTTTTTTATTTTTTGTGGAAACAAGGTTCCACCATATTGCCCAAGCTGGTCTCAAACTCCTGGCCTCAAGTAATCCGCCTGCCTCAGCCTCTCAAAGTACTGGGATTACAGGCGTGAGCCACCGTGCCATGCCATGTCCATCCGTTAATCCAGGGATTTTTTGCTAATGAAATAATTAGAAGATCACATAAAAATTTAGCAAGATTCTATTTATAAAAACAACAAATGAAAACTGACCTAAATGTCTAATTGAAGACTGGTTAAATAAATTATGTTATGAAATACTGTAAATGATGCAATGGATAAACATGTATCATTTAAAGTATTAATGTAAAGTATAAAATGTAAAGATAAGATATAGTAGGTTAAGACAGGTAGCAAATGTAACAGAAGCATTTTTGTTAAATATGTATAATAACAAAAATATGCAATATAACAAAAAAGGTCTAGAAGGCTATTAACGAAGATTAAGCTAGTGGTTCTCAAAGTATAGTCCTTAACCATCAGCATCAGCATTACTTAGGAACTTGTTGGAAATGAAATTCTGGGGTCTCACTCTAGCCCTACTGAATCACAAACTCTGAAGGTGCGGCCCAGCAATCTTTGTTTTAGAAAACCCTCTAGGTGATTCTGATATATGGTTTGAGACCACTACTCTAGGTCCTCTATTGGGAATCAGGATCCCTTTGAGACAGGAATAAAAACCATAAACTTTATTCCAGGAAAGTGTACATTTGAACAAATGCTCAATTTTATTCACAAATATGGGAAAGAAAGTATCTATGGTAGTAAAGTACCATTCCCAAGTAGAATGTATCTACTGAGCCCTAGGACTCTTCACCTACAACAAAATAACAGATACTTACTGCATATAAGTTGCCAAAATTAAATCACAAAAAAATGAAAGCAAACTGTGAATCAAACCTTCAAGTCTGGTATACTAATATTTCTTCCAGTTTGTCTTTATAAACTTTCTCAGATTCCAAGACTGACACAAAATCTCCTGGGTTTAACTTTCCAAATTTCTGAACTACTGAGTTTATACGTTGAACTTGTGGCCTTGGCAATGGAGAAATCTTACTTGATCACTATTCCATTTGACTAACAATCTGTATTTCCTAGCCTTAAGAGAAAAACTTGAAAGTTTTTTTTTTCTTTTTGTCCCCTCTCCCTCCCCTAGAAGTTTTAAGAAATTTATTTCAGAAACATCAAACCCTGTAGAGATCCCTGATTTCCTTACAGCTTATAGTAAGAACCAAGATCAATCTACAGAGACCTCAAGTTAAAGCTTCAAAGAAAACAAAAGGCCAAAAAATAAAAGATTTAACTACAACATTGGTAATCATCTCCTAATTTTATTGTTCCAAATCAATTTCAGATTTCTGTGGTAACATATGCATCTCTATAATAAATTTTAACCGAATAAAAATGTTAATGTTACTCTAAGAAAAGTATCCCAATTCTTTTTTAAAAACACTATATGCACACCTGCTATTCTCCTATCCATCCAAGCAGGAAACCATTTCTCCTTTACATCATGAGCAATAGAAAACTACTTATTAAAACATTAATCATAGTCCATTATATTCTGACTCACTGCCAAAAGTTCCCATTACATCACTGAAAATATCTATTAACCAAAACCTGCTTCTGACAAGTTACAGGAGTGTTTAAAATTTAGTAATGTAAAAGTCAGTTTAAAAAGAACAGTTACACAATTGATTTTGCAGTGGCAGCAAAAATAATTACTTTTTTTCCGACATTTATTACCAAAAGGGTGATTTAACTGGTGTTTCTACTGTAAAATTATTCAAAAATTATTTCAAACTTCACCTAGTGTTATTAAACAAATTTACTATGAAAGTATTAAACCAATGACTGAAAAGTGAAATTAAAGAATTTTAAAATGTGCTGAATACAACACTGTATGTAAAACTATATTGAGTTGTGTAAATATGGGTCTTGTTTAGAGCCATGTCTCACAGGAAATTGTAGCAAATGAAAACCATCCCCATTTTCCATTCCTGTTCTTTAGGATTTATGTTTTTACATTTAAAACCAGTTATAAAGAGAAACAAAAAACCATGGCAACATTACCTTCACGTCAGAATAATGACTACTTTGGGCATTCTGATCGTGTTAAAATAATTTAATATTATTAGAAACAAAGTTTAAATATATTTTTATTTTGTACCAACAGAACCAACTATCTAGTTTTCATCTGCTGAACTGTTTGGGGAGTAGTAACAGTGGCTTCCTAACTTAAGACAGTGCCACTCCAAAGCAGGAGGAAGAGAGGTGACATTTAATAAAGTGCCAAGAAAAAAAGCATAGGGGTGATGGGTTTATATTTCCTAAGAACAGAGACCACTTATGGCTTATGATTTTCTATATTATAAAAATCAATAACTCAACAGTAGAAACATGGTAATTTTTCTTCTGTTTGCTTATATTTTCAAAATTTTTCTATAATGAACATATATTACTTTTACAATGGGGAATACCCAATGAATTTATTTATTTTAACAGATACATGTGACTCCAAGATAACTGGGAGAGACCTCAAGAGAAAACGCTAACATGTCTTAATACATTATATTGTATGAATTCTCCTTCAAATTTAAATTATCATAATCTCTATTTCTGAAAATAGGAGTGAATGACAATCTCCAACAGTTTATGTAACATCTAATATTTCTTAGGTTTATGTTTTCCTTATTGTATTGTTTCCTACGTTTAATTTAGCTAGAAAATTCATGGTAGAAGGACTTAGAGAAATTAAAAGCATGAATTATATCTCAGTTAATAAGGAGACAGAAGAAGAAGAGAGACTTAGGTTACAATCATAGAACATGATAACGATAAATTACCAGAGTACTTTAACCCAAAAGCCAACATGTTTTACATTTGAAAGGTTGAAAGAGTCACCAAGCTATACATGTCTAATAATTTCCTAACAACTCAATCTCCTGATTGTTTTTCCTTTTAAAAACAAAAATTAGTCTCTCTAAATAGAAATACAATTTCTACAAACTTAATGAAAATAAAGTCATCTCTACTTGAAAGTAGTTCTTAAGAGAATATAAGGCGAGGCGTCGTGGCTCAATGCCTGTAATTCCAGCACTTTGGGAGGCTGAGGCAGGTGGATCACTTGAGGTCAGGAGTTCGAGACCAACCTGGCCAACATGGTGAAACCCTGTCTCTACTAAAAATACAAAAAAATTAACTGGGCACAGTGGTGGGCCTGTAATGATTACAGGTGGGCACCTGTAATCCCAGCTACTCAGGAGGCTGAGGCAGGAGAATTGCTTGCACCCAGGAGGCAGAGGTTGCAGTGAGACGAAATCGCGCCACTGCACTCCAGCCTGGGCGACGGAGCGAGACTGTCCCAAAAAAAATCAAGATTTTTCTGTTTTCAATCCATAATGGAAAGGAAAAAAAAGACAAAGACATTTCATTATTATTAGGTGAATATAAGGTGGATCATAAGAGTGTAAAGATGCAGAAAGTAGCCCTCTAGACACTAATTGTGATGATAAAAATAATCATGTAAGTAAAATCTCAGATAATGATAGCCTAGATTAATCTTTTCAAAGTTTTTTTTTTAATCTCCCCAAACTCTATTGGTGGGCTTGGGCTCTGCTGGTCCCACAGTGCTGTGGATCACCTGCCATGAAGCCCAGCCCCAATGGCCGCCCCCAGCCTCTGGCCCCACTGCCATTTATAGGACTGATTCTGCAAGACATGCAGTCTGTGGCCCACCCATGCCTTGTCACTGCAGGTGGAGCAGCTGCCCCCGACCAGTGCTCACAGTACTAGGATACCTTTGTCATCTGCAGTAAGACCTATGGCAACATGATGGCGTTGGATGGCATCATCCAGTATACAGAGAGGAACAAGTTCTCCTACCAGGAGATTATAGTCAACCTGCCTCTCTGCAGCCACCCCAACCTACAAATGGCGGTGATTATTGAGGACAGGAACAAGGGCATCCTGTGCAAGGTGAGGTAGTACCCCTCTGTGAAGTCTATGGTCCAATGTGAGAATGATAAGGATGTCATCCAAGTCTCTCAGAAGTTCCTGCCAGGCAAAGCTGTTGGCTACTTTTGCTCAAAGCTGAACTTACACATGGGTGATGGGTTTGAATTCATGAAACAGAATTAGGATGCCTTCAGTGTTATCAATGACTCCTCAGACCCCACTGCCTTGCTAAAAACCTCTTCAAGGAATCCTACTACCAGTTCATGAAGACAGTCCTCAGGAGGGCAGCCCTAAAGAAGCATGGCATTCTCTGCTGCCCAGGTGACTGCCAGTGGCTGTACCTGGACCTCACCAAAAAGACGCAGCAATTCTGCATGCCACTCTTTCCCATGGTGGGCTGCACCTACTGCACCATCCCCACCTACCGCAGTGGCCAGATTAGCTTCATGATGTGCAGCAAAACCCAAGCACCAAGTTCTGGGAGTCCGTGCGACAGCTGACACAGAAGCTGGTGGAACATACATAACTGAAATACTATAAATCAGATGTGCACGAGGCAGCCTTTCTGCCACCCAAATTTGCCCACAAGACCCTGAGTGATCTGAGCTGAGCCCAGGTGCTGCTGCAGATGCCAACCAGGACGTTGGACCAGGGAGCCTCCAGGGTTCCTGGTCCTCTCCAGCTCTGAGCCAGACCTCTTGCCGGCTCTGGCACACCAACCAACTGTCCAAGTCCCAGAATGCTGCCTGGCTGACATGCTGAGCAGACTGTCTGTGTGTCTGTCTCTCTCGGTGTGTAGCATTCAGCCTCCAACCCTATATCAGCTGTGTATAGCACCATCTCTCTGCCTTCTCTTGCCCCTTCACTTGGTTAGTTTCACCTAACATGTAACTAAACAACAAAACAAAAAACTTCCCAAACTCAAAAATCTATGAGTTACCAATATATTGTGCACAATTCAATGATTTTTAGTAAATTTACATCATTAAGCAATCATCACCACAACCCAATTTCAGAACATTTTCATCACTTCAAAGCAGATCCCTCATGCCCATTTGCAGTCACTCAAGTATGTATTTTTAAGGACAAAAATATATATATATATATATATATTCTCATCTGGATAGTCATTAAACAAGATAGATTTCATTCCACAATAATTTGGAACAAGAACCTTGACCATCCATTTTGCTAAAAGTACGTGTGTCAACATCCTTTCATCTTTTATGATGTTTGTGCACCATAATTTAGTTGATACATTTTTTAAGTGTATAAATGATATTGGCAAGTGTCCACATAAAGGTATTTGGAAGGGAGAAAATCATGTAAAAATGAACAATTGGCCGGGCACTGTGGCTCATGCCTCTAATCCCACCACTTTGGGAGGCCGAGGTGGGTGGATCACGAGGTCAGGAGATCGAGACCAACCTGGCTAAAACGGTGAAACCCCGTCTCTACTAAAAATACAAAAAATTAGCCCGGTATGGTTGCGGGCGCCTGTAGTCCCAGCTACTCAGGAGGCTGAGGCAGGAGAATGGCGTGAACCCGGGAGGCAGAGCTTGCAGTGAGCCAAGATCGCACCACTGCACTCCAGCCTGGGCGACAGACCGAGACTCCATCTCAAAAAAAAAAAAAAAAAAAAAAAAAAAAGAACAATTAATTGGATTGATCCTTCTAACTGGTGTTCACAAATCTAAAAGTGAGAATCTTTTGCAATTATGGAATAAAAAAGATGGTGGTCCTCTTTTCAACCAAATTACAAGCCATCAAAGTTTTCAAAGGTTTTAAATTTTGATCAAGCAAAGACAAAAAGAGTAAGAGATAATGATAAGCTTAAACCTGCTGATGTATTTGAAAGCCTGAATCCAAATTGAATTTTGATGATACAAATGCAAGTGGAACCAGAAGAAGTAACAAGCTCAGCCAGACACGGTGTCTCACGCCTATAATCCCAGCACTTTGGGAGGCCAAAGCGGGTAGATTACTTGAGGTCAGGAGTTCAAGACCAGCCTGGCCAACATGGTGAAACTCCGTCCGTCTCTATTAAAAATACAAAAAGTTAGCCGGGTGTGGTGGCACACACCTGTAATCCCAGCTACTTGGAAGGCTGAGGCAGAAGAATCACTTGAACCCGGGAGGTGGAGGTTGCAGTGAGCCGAGATCACGCCACTCCACTCCAGCCTGGGCAAAAAAGTGAGACTCCATAAAAAAAAAAACAAAAAAGAAACAAAAAAAAAACAAAACTCAAATCTATTAGAGATGTATTTGAAATATGGATTCAACATATACAAGTTGCATATGTCCCATGTTCATGTGTGACCACTGATGAGTGGTTAGTTGCATTCGAAGGGCACTGCCAATTTTGAGTACAGACACCATCTAAACCAAGAATATATGGAATAAAAATTTGATTGCGCTATATTTAAATCTGTTAAATTTTCTAATAAAATTGTTTTATACACTGCTTATTCATAAAAACAATGTAAAATTATTTAATAAAGGGGTTCATTGGACCTAGATAATAAATAGGAATGACTATTTTTTCCTGGTAAAATGAGGGTTAGAAACTGAAAATTCCATGAAGCATTACAATACTGTACCTACCCTAAGAAAGAAGTTAGAGGACCTCTCCATTTGCCTGAGGCTACGCCAACCTCTGCTCATACATAATTTCCCTTAGACCTTAAAAGTATGTTCCCTAAACTTTAGAAACAATTTGAGCGGTGACTTCTTCTATGTGTTTAGGGCAGCATTTCTCAAACTTTTCTTACCATAATTAACAGTATACTTTACATAAAAACCCACTACAAGTGGGTTTTACAAAAGTTTTAAAAGCCAATGCTTACAGGTTATTTTTTGTTTTTATTTTTGTTTTTTAATTTTTTTAAATTTTTTGGAGACAGAGTCTTGCTCTGTCACACAGGCTGGAATGCAGTGGCAGGATTTCAGCTCACTGCAACCCCCGCCTCCCAGGTCCAAGCAATTCTCGTGCCTCAGCCTCCTGACTAGTTGGGACTACTGGCATGCACAACCGCACCTGGCTAATTTTTTTATATTTTAGTAAAGACACAGTTTCACCACGTTGCCCAGTCTGATCTGGAACTCCTGAGTTCAGGCAGTTCGCCTGCCTCCGCCTCCCAAAGTGCTAGGATTACAGGCATAAGCCACTGCACCTGGCCTTTTTTAAATTTTTAGAGGCAGGGTCTCACTCTGTTACCCAGGCTGGAGTGCAGTGGTGTGATCTTGGCTCACTGCAGCCTCGAATTCCTAGGCTCAAGTGATCCTCCCACCTCAGCCTCCTGGGTAGCTGGGAACACAGATGCATGCCACCATCCCTGGCTAATTTTTACATTTTTTGTAAAGACGAGATCTTGTTATGTTGCCCAGACTGGTCTTAAACTCCTGGGCTCAAGCGATCCTTGTGCCTTGGCCTCCCAAAGTGCTGGGATTGCAGGCGTGAGCCATAGCACCTGGCCCAATGCTTACATTTATATAATGCCCTTGGTGAGTTTACTTTTTATTTTATTCTATTTTTAAAAATGTATATAACCTACAGTCTAAAAAACACTGATAATACAGCTCTTCAATATGTCATTTTTAAATGTTAAAGTTGAGGGTTAAGATGATAATGGATAAATTATTTGTAACAAATAAACAAAACCACCTTTCAAAGCAACAACAGTAGCAAGCTCATAAAACAGATGGAAGTGATAGAGCCAACATCAGGCTATAGATGTTAACTGTAACAAATGAGGGGATAAAGGCAACAACTAAGCCTTCCTAAGGAAGAAGACCTGCTTCATGGAAAAGTTACCACAGCGCTCCAAGAAATACCCTCCTGCTGTTGACTCAGTTGTAGGGAGATGAGAGCTGTCCAAATGTGTCTTGCAACTCCTCTCCCGCTCTGGTATGCAGAGCTGGGAACCGATGAATGCAGTAAACAGGACAGTAAGAATACTATTGCTTCTGACTCCTTTACTTTCTTTTTAAGTTAAGTTTGAGGTAAAATTCAAGGCATGAGATATGAAAGTTGACTGAATTTCACTTAAATCTAAAGACAGCTAACCATTCTTTGGCAGGATATTTTTAAAACATTTTAAAAGTACCAATTCCAAAAAATCTGATGCTAAACCCATCACAAATTAGCAAAGCAGCTACACTGCATGCCTTCAAACACAAGGACAGGAGAGACTAAGCTATTAATAAAACTACCAGGAAGTAACACCTACATTGGGTAAGGAGGCTGAAACAAAGCAAGAGGCAACAAATGGTGAGATTCTATTTTCTTTTCATATTCCGTAGCCCTAGATAGGGTAGATTTTAGGGTTTGATGAGGTGAACAAGGTGCTGATTAAAGCCAAAGGAAAAATGTGAAGAGACACCAAAAACATGGCAATCATTATGGGAAATCTAAGAAACACAATAAGTTTAAAATATGTGGCTCAGCTGAAAATAAGATTTTCATATTCACCATGAATATAGGGAAGATGACTCAATTTTCAAAACGTAATATAATTGCATTAAGAGATAATAGGGCAAGTGAAATAAGGGTAGAGAAGAGGTTTTAGATGGCTAAATCTTCATTTCTCATACTAGGAAGTCAAGAGACAGCTATAAAATTGGAAACCAAGGAACTGCAGTATGATGATGTTATTTAGAAATACAGAGGTAAATAGTAGAACAAAAAGCTAAGATTTAGAAGCTGGGCAGAGTAAAAAAAGTTACACTGAGACAAGCAGAATCCAGGAACAGCAATCTGCATTAAAAATTACCTGAAATAGCACCTTGCTCTCGGTCAAATAAAAAACAAACCTACATAGAATCAATCAGCATCTTCTCTCACCTTGAAATATTTCAGAATAATCAGCCAACGCTGGCTGGTCATCTAGTCCACATTTTGCCATCTTATTGGTAATTTTCCTTCCAAAAACATTATTCCCTTCAAAAATCCCTCATAAACTAAAATTTGATTTGCTACCCATGTTCACTCTGCTCTCCCAAAGTATAGCCATTTGATTCTAGCTTCAATAATCGCACTTCTTTTAACCTTCTATATAGGACCTATCTTGACCACTACTTAAGTTTGTGGATATCTTTTTTAAATCTCCCTAAGGCTCTATAGCCTACTTAAAATAATGTAACCAAATAGGATGTAGAATTTTTTATGACTAAATTAAGATAATTTGGTCAACACAGAAGCTACCTACAACACAGAAGTCCATCCCCAGAGTGGACTCTATTAGGCAGCTGCATACATAGCATATTAGACAGCCAGAACAGATTTTTTTTTTTACCATATCTGTGCCTCTACACAACTAAATTATTTTCTGTAATAACCATGAAATTAAAAATAACAATCCAGACACACCATTCAAAGCTGGGGAGCCAAGATGGCCGAATAGGAACAGCTCCAGTCTACAGCTCCCAGCGTGAGCAATGCAGAAGACAGGTGATTTCTGCATTTCCAACTGAGCTACCGGGTTCATCTCACAGGGAAGTGCCGGACAGTGGGTGCAGGACAGTGGGTGCAGTACACCGTGCTTGAGCCGAAGCAGGGCAAGGCATCGCCTCACCCGGGAAGCGCAAGGGGTCAGGGAATTCCCTTTCCTAGTCAAAGAAAGGGGTGACAGACGGCACCTGGAAAATTGGGTCACTCCCACCCTAATACTGCGCTCTTCCAACAGGCTTAACAAACGGCACACCAGGAGATTATATCCTGCACCAGGCTCGGAGGGTCCTACGCCCACAGAGCCTAGCTCATTGCTAGCACAGCAGTCTGAGATCAAACTGCAAGGCGGCAGCGAGGCTGGGGGAGGGGCACCTGCCATTGCTCAGGCTTGAGTAGGTAAACAAAGCAGCCAGGAAGCTCGAACTGCGTGGAGCCCACCACAGCTCAAGGAGGCCAGACTGCCTCTGTAGGCTCTACCTCTGGGGGCAGGGCACAGACAAACAAAAGAGCAATAACCTCTGCAGTCTTAAATGTCCCTGTCTGACAGCTTTGAAGAGAGTAGTGGTTCTTCCAGCACGCAGCTGGAGATCTGAACACCGACAGACTGCCTCCTCAAGAGGGTCCCTGACCCCAGAGTAGCCTAACTAGGAGGTACCCCCCAGTAGGGGCAGACTGACACCTCACACGGCTGGGTACTCCTCTGAGACAAAACTTCCAGAGGAATGATCAGGCAGCAGCATTTGCGGTTCACCAATATCCACTGTTCTGCAGCCTCCCCTGCTGATACCCAGGCAAACCGGGTCTGGAGTGGACCTCCAGTAAACTCCAACAGACCTGCAGCTGAGGGTCCTGACTGTTAGAAGGAAAACTAAAAAACAGAAAGGCCATCCACACCAAAAACCCATCTGGACGCCACCATCATCAAAGACCCAAGGTAGATAAAACCACAAAGATGGGGAAAACACAGAGCAGAAAAACTGGAAACTCTAAAAATCAGAGCGCCTCTCCTCCTCCAAAGGAATGCAGCTCCTCACCAGCAACGGAACAAAGCTGGATGGAGCATGACTTTGACGAGTTGAGAGAGGAAGGCTTCAGAAGATCAAACTACTCCGAGCTAAAGGAGGAAGTTCAAACCAATTGCAAAGAAGTTAAAAACTTTGAAAAAAAAATTAGACGAATGGACAACTAGAATAACCAATGCAGAGAAGTCCTTAAAGGAACTAATGGAGCTGAAAACCAAGGCAAAAGAACTACGTGATGAATGCACAAGCCTCAGTAACTGATGCGATCAACTGGAAGAAAGGGTATCAGCGGTGGAAGATGAAATGAATGAAATGAAGCGTGAAGAGAAGTTTAGAGAAAAAAGAATAAAAAGAAACAAACAAAGCCTCCAAGAAATATGTGACTATGTGAAAAGACCAAATGTACATCTAATTGGTGTACCTGAAAGTGACGGGGAGAATGGAACCAAGCTGGAAAACACTCTGCAGGATATTATCCAGGAGAACTTCCCCAATCTAGCAAGGCAGGCCAACATTCAAATTCAGGAAATACAGAGAACGCCACTAAGATACTCCTCGAGAAGAGCAACTCCAAGACACATAACTGTCAGATTCACCAAAGTTGAAATGAAGGAAAAAGTGTTAAGGGCAGCCAGAGAGAAAGGTCAGGTTACCCAAAAAGGGAAGCCCATCAGACTAACTAACAGCTGATCTCTTGGCAGAAACTCTACAAGCCAGAAGACAGTGGGGGCCAATATTCAACATTCTTAAAGAAAAGAATTTTCAACCCAGAATTTAATATCCAGCCAAACTAAGCTTCATAAGTGAAGGAGAAATAAAATCCTTTATAGACAAGCAAATGCTGAGAGATTTTGTCACCACCAGGCCTGCCCTACAAAAGCTCCTGAAGGAAGCACTAAACATGGAAAGGAACAACCGGTGCCAGCCACTGCAAAAACATGCCAATTTGTAAAGACTATCAAGGCTAGGAAGAAACTGCATCAACTAACGAGCAAAATAACCAGCTAACATCATAATGACAGGATCAAATTCACACATAACAATATTAACCTTAAATGTAAATGGGCTAAATGCTCCAATTAAAAGACACACACTGGCAAACTGGATAAAGAGTCAAGACCCATCAGTGTGCTGTATTCAGGAAACCCATCTCATGTGCACAGACACACATAGGCTCAAAATAAAGGGATGGAGGAAGATCTACCAAGCAAACGGAAAACAAAAAAAGGCAGGGGTTGCAATCCTAGTCTCTGATAAAACAGACTTTAAACCAACAAAGATCAAGAGAGACAAAGAAGGCCATTACATAATGGTAAAGGGATCAATTCAACAAGAAGAGCTAACTATCCTAAATATATATGCACCCAATACAGGAGCACCCAGATTCATAAAGCAAGTCCTTAGAGACCTAGAAAGAGACTTAGACTCCCACACAATAATAATGGGAGACTTTAACACCCCACTGTCAACATTAGACAGATCAACGAGACAGAAAGTTAACAAGGATATCCAGGAATTGAACTCAGCTCTGCACCAAGCGGACCTAATACACATCTACAGAACTCTCCACCCCAAATCACCAGAATATACATTCTTTTCAGCACCACACCACACCTATTCCAAAACTGACCACATAGTTGGAAGTAAAACACTCCTCAGCAAATGTAAAAGAACAAAAATTATAACAAACTGTCTCTCAGACCACAGTGCAGTCAAACTAGAACTCAGGATTAAGAAACTCACTCAAAACCACTCAACTACATGGAAACTGAACAACCTGCTCCTGAACTACTGGGTACACAATGAAATGAAGGCAGAAATAAAGATGTTCTTTGAAACCAACGAGAACAAAGACACAACATACCAGAATCTCTGGGACACATTCAAAGCAGTGTGTAGAGGGAACTTTATAGCACTAAGTGCCCACAAGAGAAAGGAGGAAAGATCTAAAATTGACACCCTAACAACAGAATTAAAAGAACTAGAGAAGCAAGAGCAAACACATTCAAAAGCTAGCAGAAGGCAAGACATAACTAAGTCAGAGCAGAACTGACGGAAATAGAGACACAAAAAACCCTTAAAAAAATCAATGAATCCAGGAGCTGGTTTTTTGAAAAGATCAACAAAATTGATAGACTGCTAGCAAGACTAATAAAGAAGAAAAGAGAGAAGAATCAAATAGACGCAATAAAAAATGACAAAGGGGATATCACCACCGATCCCACAGAAATACAAACTACCATCAGAGAATACTATAAACACCTCTACACAAATAAACTAGAAAATCTAGAAGAAATGGATAAATTCCTCGACACACACACCCTCCCAAGACTAAACCAGGAAGAAGTTGAATCTCTGAATAGACCAATAACAGGCTCAGAAATAGAGACAATAATTAAGAGTTTACCAATCAAAAAAAGTCCAGGACCAGATGGTTTCACAGCCGAATTTTACCAGAGGTACAAGGAGGAGCTGGTACCATTCCTTCTGAAACTATTCCAATCAATAGAAAAAGAGGGAATCCTCCCTAATGCATTGTATGAGGCCAGCATCATCCTGGTACCAAAGCCGGGCAGAGACACAACCAAAAAAGAGAATTTTAGACCAATATCCTTGAGAACATTGATGCAAAAATCCTCAATAAAATACTGGCAAACCAAATCCAGCAGCACATCAAAAAGTTTATCCACCATGATCAAGTGGACTTCATCCCTGGGATGCAAGGCTGGTTCAACATACACAAATCAATAATCATAATCCAGCATATTAACAGAACCAACGACAAAAAAACATGATTATCTCAATAGATGCAGAAAAGGCTTTTGACAAAATTCGACAATGCTTCATGCTTAAAAACTCTCAATAAATTAGGTATTGATGGGACATATCTCAAAATAATAAGAGCTATCTATGACAAACCCACAGCCAATATCATACTGAATGGACAAAAACTGGAAGCATTCCCTTTGAAAACTGGCACAAGACAGGGATGCCCTCTCTCACCACTCCTATTCAACATAGTGTTGGAAGTTCTGGCCAGGGCAATCAGGCAGGAGAAGGAAATAAAAGGCATTCAATTAGGAAAAGAGGAAGTCAAATTGTCCCTGTTTGCAGATGACATGATTGTATATCTAGAAAACCCCATCATCTCGGCCCAAAATCTCCTTAAGCTGATAAGCAACTTCAGCAAACTCTCAGGATAAAAAATCAGTGTACAAAAATCACAAGCATTCTTATACACCAGTCACAGACAAACAGAGAGCCAAATCATGAGTGAACTCCCATTCATAATTGCTTCAAAGAGAATAAAATACCTAGGAATCCAACTTACAAGGGATGTGAAGGACTTCTTCAAGGAGAACTACAAACCACTGCTCAGTGAAATAAAAGAGGATACAAACAAATGGAAGAACATTCCATGCTCATGGGTAGGAAGAATCAATATCGTGAAAATGGCCATACTGCCCAAGGTAATTTATAGATTCAATGCCATCCCCATCAAGCTACCAATGACTTTCTTCACAGAATTGGAAAAAACTACTTTAAAGTTCATATGGAACCAAAAAAGAGCCCGCATCGCCAAGTCAATCCTAAGCCAAAAGAACAAAGCTGGAGGCATCACGCTGCCTGACTTCAAACTATATTACAAGGCTACAGTAACCAAAACAGCATGGTACTGGTACCAAAACAGACATATAGACCAATGGAACAGAACAGAGCCCTCAGAAATAATGCCACATATCTACAACTATCTGATCTTTGACAAACCTGAGAAAAACAAGCAATGGGGAAAGGATTCCCTATTTAATAAATGGTGCTGGGAAAACTGGCTAACCATATGTAGAAAGCTGAAACTGGAGCCCTTCCTTACACCTTATACAAAAAGTAATTCAAAATGGATTAAAGACTTATATGTTAGATCTAAAACCATAAAAACCCTAGAAGAAAACCTAGGCAATACCATTCAGGACATAGGCATGGGCAAGGACTTCATGTTTAAAACACCAAAAAAAATGGCAACAAAAGCCAAAATTGACAAATGGGATCTAATTAAACTAAAGAGTTTCTGCACAGCAAAAGAAACCACCATCAGAGTGAACAGGCAACCTACAGAATGGGAGAAAATTTTTGCAACCTACTCATCTGACAAAGGGCTAATATCCAGAATCTACAATGAACTCAAACAAATTTACAAGAAAAAAACAAAAAACCCCATCAAAAAGTGGGTGAAGGATATGAACACACACTTCTCAAAAGAAGAGATTTATGCAGCCAACAGACACATGAAAAAATTCTAATCATCACTGGCCATCAGAGAAATGCAAATCAAAACCACAATGAGATACCATCTCACACCAGTTAGAATGGCAATCATTAAAAAGTCAGGAAACAACAGGTGCTGGAGAGGATATGGAGAAATAGGAACACTTTTACACTGTTGGTGGGACTGTAAACCAGTTCAACCATTGTGGAAGTCGGTATGGCGATTCCTCAGGGATCTAGAACTAGAAATACCATTTGACCCAGCCATCCCATTACTGGGTATATACCCAAAGAATTATAAATCATGCTGCTATAAAGACACATGCTCATGTATGTTTACTGCGGCACTATTCACAATAGCAAAGACTTGGAACTAAGCCAAATGTCCAACAATGATAGACTGGATTAAGAAAATGTGGCACATATACACCATGGAATACTATGCAGCCATAAAAAGTGATGAGTTCGTGTCCTTTATAGGGACATGGATGAAGCTGGAAACCATCATTCTCAGCAAACTATCGCAAGGACAAAAAACCAAACACCGCATGTTCTCACTCATAGGTGGGAATTGAACAATGAGAACACATGGACACAGGAAGGGGAACATCACACACCGGGGCCTGTTGTGGGGTCGGGGGGTTGGGGGAGGGATAGCATTAGAAGATATACCTAATGTTAAATGACGAGTTAATGGGTGCAGCACACCAACATGGCACATGTATACATATGTAACAAACCTGCACGTTGTACACATATACCGTAAAACTTAAAGTATAATAAAAATAAAAAATAAAGAAAAAAATAACAATCCAGAAAAAGCACACAGTGAGGCTTTCCTTTTATAGCACTTTGTACACATAATTATTCCAATAAAAAAATTTAAACGTAAAATAATCTTTATATCATGAAAGAAATAAGTAACAAACTAAAATATCTATTAATTTTTTAAAAATGGCACAATTTATAAGCACAAAATGGACTATCACATTATAATTTGTTTTGAGCTTTGACTTCTGCAGATTTGTCAATGAGTGCATTAAAATTGGTTGTTTTTACATAGTTATGTTCAATAGATGTTATAGTTAGATTCATCAATTTATCTCTGCTCATAGTCACCTGGAGAATACTTTTTGTTAATTTTAATTACAAAAGTTTCTTATCTGAAGAAACAGATATTCAGATAACTAGGAAATATCTTAGTGATAAGGATGAGTTTGGCAGAATATAAAAAATTTTATTTCACAATTAATTCTAGAAAGTGCAATACTGTTGCAATCTTTGTTTCATTAAAATTGATTCTAGCAACTTTTTTTTTTTTTTTTTTTTTTTGAGACACAGTTTCGCTCTTGTTGTCCAGGCTGGAGTGCAATGGCACAATCTTGGCTCACCACAACCTCTGCCTCCTGGGTTCAAGCAATTCTCCTGCCTCAGCCCCGTGAGTAGCTGGGATTACAGGCATACACCACCATGCCCTGCTAATTTTGTATTTTTTTAATAGAGACAGGGTTTTTCCATGCTGGTCAGGCTGGTCTTGAACTCCCGACCTCAGGTGATCTGCCCGCTTAGGCCTGATTCTAGGAACTTTCAAATGTCCCCACAATTGAAAACTTTAAACACAAATAAAACTTCTCAGAACCTAAGTTCTGTTTCTTCATCTTTTTTTTTTTTTTTTTTTTGGTGAGACAGAGTCTTGCTCTGTCACACAGGCTGGAGTGCAATGGCATGGTCTCAGCTCACTGCAACCTCTGCTTCCCAGGTTCAAGCGATTCTCCTGCCTCAGCCTCCTGAGTAGCTGGGACTACAGGCGCGTGCCACCACACCCGGCTAATTTTTGTATTTTTAGTAGAAACGAGGTTTCACTATGTTGGCCAGGCTGGTCTCGAACTCTGGACCTCATGATCCACCTGCCTCGAGGGTGTTGGGATTACAGGTGTGAACCACCGTGTCCAGCTGTTTCTTCATCTTTATAATCACTGAGCTAACACTGTTTACTTCAAATGTACTAACTCAGCAATATGTAGTACCATAGGGGAGTTAAAAATAGAAATTTTGTTAGAAAGGAGCTTGAAAAATTCCAAAACCATATAAATTTACTCTTGAGTGAGGCTAAATATAGCTAAGTTTGTGGCTATTGGGGTTGGGGGGTGGAAAGGTGGAGCTTGGGGATGATTGTAAAACTCAAAGTTCTCTGAACTAATTTCTGCATACATAAAATGTTATTAAAGAACGAGAAATAAAGATGTTAATAGCTTACATATATACTATTAGATTTAAAAGTAATTACAGTGATTTTTGAGAACTTGGACCAACAAAAGATTTTTTCAGAAACGAGTATTTGAAAACCAACATTGTTTAGAACTGTCAGTACATGTTCATTTTAAAAAGACTTTTATTCAGTTTTATTATTTTAAAAAATCTCTATAAACAACACAACCCCTTATTGCTTGCAGCTTTGTTGTTCAGATAAAACCCTAGGAGCAACCATTTGCTCAGATAAAAACCTTGGAAGTAATCTTCTCTTTTTCATACCCCCCTTAACCAATCCATCAAAAATTATTTTGCCCCTGCTATCAAAATTATATCCATAATCTGACCACTTTCTTATGAACTATACTGCTACCATGCTGGGACAAGCCACTACCATCTTAGCAGGACTACTGCAAATTTTCTTGCATTCACGCTGCCCCTTGCCACCATTGCCCACCATCTACTCTCTGATGACAGACCTTTCTAGATGAAAGTAATATTATGGCAACTTCTGTTCAAAATTCTCCTATGACTTCGCATCTCCTTCAAAGTAAAAACCCAAGTCTTGACCATGGTCTATAAAGACCTGTATCATCAACTAGGTCTAGCCTGCCCCCTTACATAAAAACCTGCTACCTCTCTGAACCTATTCTCCTACCATTCCCTATATTTACTCCTGCTCCAGACATTCTGCACTCCTTCCTCTTCCTTATTCATATTCCCACTGGTGCATTTACAGTTCCTGCTGACTCTCCCAAGGATATCAAATGACTCATTTCTTTGCTAATTCAGGTATTTGCTAAAATACCATCTTACAAAAGATTTCAATCACCAAAAATAGCACACTACTCCAATCACTATCCATCCTTTTATCCTTTATTTGTCTTCAAAGTACTAATTATCATATGGAATTTTATGTGTCAACTTGACTGGGCTAAAGGATCTCCTGATGGCTGGTAAAACATTATTTCTGGGTGCGTCTGTGAAGGTGTTTCCAGAAAAGATTGGCATTTGAATCAAAAGTCTTAGTACAAAATATACACCCTCACCAATGTGGATGGATGTCATCCAATCCAGCTGAGGGCCTGAACACAGCAAAAAAACGAAGGAAGTGTAAATTCACTCTTTCTTCTGGAGCTGGGACATTTACTCTGTCCTTGGACATCATAACTCAAGGTTCTTGGGCCTTCATACTCCATGACTTTCACCTCCACCCCCGCTAAGTCTCCATTCTCAGGCCTTCAACCTCAAACTGAGAGTCACATCACTGGCTCCCTTAATTCTCAGGCCTTTGGATTCAGCGTGAGTTATACTATGAACTTCCCTGGTTCTCCTGGTTGCTGATAGCATATCATGGGACTTCTCAGCCTCTATAATCATGTGAGCCAATTCCAAACATGAACATCCTCTTATGTATCTCTAAATGTCCTATTGATTCTTTCTCTGGAAAACCCTGGTTTATCTGCTATATCTAACAGGTGTTTCTAATATTAGAAATATCTAACAGCATCTAACATATTCAATAATGTACTGTTATTGTTGGTTTTATTACAGTTGAATTTTAAGTTTCATCTCAAATGTTAGATCTTTCATAGAAACATCTAACAGCATCTTAACAGATTCAATAATGTACTGTTATTGTTGGTTTTATTACAGGAGAATTTAAGCTTCATGATAGTAGACATTTACTCCTCTGTTTGGCTCACTACTGTTTTCTCAGCACCCAGAACAGTAACTGGCACACAGTAGGCACTTCATAACTATTTGCTAACCGACAACCAAATGAATAACAAAAGTAAAAGAACTGCTGAACAGTGAGCCAAGATCATGCCACTGCACTCCAGCCTGGGCAACAGAGCGAGACTCCGTCCAAAAAAAAAAAAAAAAAGGAACTGCTGAACAATCTATTGTTTTCTCAGTTAACCTGAGCTATACAATGAGGTTTCATTTCCCAATGGAGACAATTTTAAATAAGATCCACGGGATCTACTGAATTCTACCACGATACGGGAGAAGTAAACAAAGTCCAATAATAAATTGAATCTGCTTTTTTAAGGGTCCTGTAAAAATATAAATTAAAACATTTTATTGTAATAATTTACTTTTTTTAACTTAGTGCTTTCTTTCTGAGATTAATTTTAGAATATATCTCATTTTATATATTTTTAAATTGATGTTATAATTTAAGTCCTCACTACAAAAAACTATTCTGGAACCAACTACACAATTATATTTCCTCAGTGACCTTGTAATCTCATGAGCATTCACTCTAGACTAAACAGCCTCATTCAGCTGCCCTGTGTCTGACTGTTGATGAAAGAAGATTGTTTGACAACTGCTTCAAGCAGAAACATATTTTTTCCATAACTGCATAAAAAAGATTTAAAACTTGCAAGACTAGAGCCAGGTTAGAATTTTAAGCACAAAGATTCATGTTAGATATGTGAGTTCATTTCTAATTTAAATGCCCCCAAAAACAAACAAACAAAAAAACAAATACTAAAGACATTTTGCTGTCATAACCAGAAAAAAAAATTAATTTAGTAATATTTTCATAATTACCACCAAGTATAGTATAAATTATATGTTATATACACATGCATATTGCAGTTTTTTTGTGATTTTTGTATTTTTCCACATTCTTTGATTTTCTGATGCCCCAAGACTTTCTGTAAAACTAACATATAAACTTAAGGTCGGGCACAGTGGCCCACGCCTGTAATCCCAGCACTTTGGGAGGCCAAGGCGGGTGGATCACAAGGTCAGGAGTTCAAGACCAGCCTGGCCAATATGGTGAAACCCCATCTCTACTAAAAAATACAAAAATCAGTCAGATGTGGTGGCGGGTGCCTGCAGTCCCCGCTACTCGGGAGGCTGAGGCAGGAGAATTGCTTGAACGTGGGAGGCAGAAGTTGCAGTAGGCCAAGATTGTGCCACTGCACTCCAGCCAGGCGACAGAGAGAAACTCCATCAAAAAGAAAAAAAAAAAAAAAAAAAAACTTACATGGGTAGCATCAAAAACAAAACAAAACTTAAATGAAACAACTACGTTTTCACCATTCTTACACAATCCATATATAATAAGTCAATATTATAAGGTAAAGACGAAGGTAAAGACTATGACCAAAAAGCAGTATACAGAATGCCACATTCTCTCATGGAAATTTTGGAATATAAGTAACACTTTCATATGTAAAAATTCTAAGTGATTTCCAGAAAAAAGCACAATCACAGTGAAAGCAGATTATACAAATATTCTATATCGTGGCTGTGCTGGTGGTTACAAACTGGATGTGTTTGTCAAAACTCATTGGAATATACAATAAAATAGGTATTTTATTGTATGTGAATTATGCTTTCATATAGCTGATTAAATTTAAATTTCTTAAGTGTTAAGATTTTTAAAGTATTATAGATTGCCTCAATTATTTTTCACTGGTAGAACGTAAACTAATCCATTTAAAACAAATTTCCTGAACTTGAAGTTTTCAGCTGAAATTCTACCTTTCCCAAACGCTATTTTAGGTAGGTAGCTATCTAGGAATATAGGAAGTACTTGCTATTGAAAAAATTTTTAATAATATTATACACCATTAGGTTCAAAAACTACATCAATAGATGCATAAAAGCATTCAATAAAATTAAATGTGAAGACGAAGATTTAATATATATTCATGATGCAATTCCTTCATTGTGATTTAGAAAATACATATATGTGATACAAAAAAACACTTAAACAGCGAATATAATACTTAATGATGAAACACTTGAGGCATTCACCAGAAAAAAAAACAGAAAGAAACTACAGTTATTAGAATTATACTTGGTCTAAAAGTTCTACAAGTTCTAGCCAAAATACAATAAAATATAAACCTAAAGTCACAAATATAGCATTGAAAAGAAAAAAAATTTTTTTTCAGCTGACTGACTCCTAGATAAAAACCCAGATATTCACCTAATAGAACTAGGTATAGAAACTATTAGAATTCAGTAAAATATTATGTAGAAAATTACATTTAATAGTTTTCATATATAACAGCAAGAACCAGTTAGAAAGCATGATGAAAACTTTATCACAACAGCATCAAAAGTAGAATATAATGAAAATTAATTTCCAAGAAATGTGTGATATATATAAAAACTAAGTATATTTTAAATGCCCATTCTTCTCTGATCAGATTGTAAGTTTAAATTCCAGGTACAATCCCAAAAGGATTGGTGTTTGATTACTATATAGGGGGATGGATGTATCTTATTAGCTAAGTTGTTGGTGGCTTTTGATGTTTCATTACTTGATTCACAGTATTTTATAAAAATTTTCAAATGTACACAAATTTTGAAACAATTATGGAGTGCTTTGTTGCTTTTGCCAACAAAGTTTACTTCAAAGTATAAATGTATAAAAATGCTTAGAATATTTTGAGAAAGATAAGTAGCAAGAGAAAACCTATCTCGCTTGTAGTAGGCAGAATTTAGACATGGCCCTCAATATTCTACCCCGTTGTATCCATTCCTTGCATAATTCTCAGTCCTTGGGTATAAATAGGACCATCAATTTGACAGTCTTCATTGCTGTGATTATATTATATATAAAAAATGATTTTGCAAATGTAGTTAAAATCCCAAATAAATAGATTATGTATTAATGAAAAATGATAATGATCCTCTGGGCCATCGGCTAGTCCTAATCTTTTTGCTGATGAAAGCTCTTGCCTGGATGTTGATATCTGCTTTACTGATCACAATGGTGGTTGCTGAAGACTGGGGAGGTCATAGCAATTTCTTAAAATAAGACAATAATAAAGTTTGCTGCGTTGATTGACTCTTCCTTTCACAAAAGATTTCTCTGTAGCACATAATGCTGTTTAATAGCATTTTACTTACAGCAGAACTTCTTTAAAAATTAGAGGCAATCCTCTCAAACCCTATCACTGCTTTATCAGCTCAGTTTATATAATATTCTAAATCTTTTGTTGTCATTTCAACAATGTTCACAGCATCTTCACCAGGAGCAGATTCCATCTCAAGAAACCACTTTCTTTACTCATCCCTGAGAGTCAGTTTCTCATTTGTTCAAGTTTTATTATAAGACTGTAGTAATTCAGTCATATCTTCAGTCTCCACGGCTAATTCTAGTTTTCTTGCTATTTTCACCCCATTTGCGGTTACTTCTTCCAACAAAATCTCAAACATGGGGTTGGAATTAACTTCTTTCAAATTCCTGATAATGCTGATATTCTGACCTCCTCCCATGGATCACAAATATTCCTAATGCACAAATATTCCTAATGGCTTCTAGAGTAATGAATTGTTTCCAGAAGGTTTTCAATTTGTTTCATCCAGATCCATCAGAGGAATCACTATCTATGGCAGCTATAGCACTATGAAACATATTATTTAAATAACAAGACTGAAAAGTCAAAATTACTCCTTGATCCATGGGCTTTAGAATGGATGTTGTGCTAGCAGTCATGAAAACAATATCCATTTCCTTGCACATATCCATCAGAAGTCTTAGGTGACCAGATGTAATGTCAATGAGTAGCAGTATTTTGAAAGAAATCTCTTTTTTCCGAAGCAGTAAGTCTCAAGAGTGGGCTTCAAATATTCAGCAAACCATGCTGTAAACAGACACACTGTCATCCTGGCTTTTTCATTCCATTTATAAAGCACAGGCAGAGTAGATTTAGCATACTTTTTAGGGGCCCTACAATTTTCAAAATGGCAAATAAATATCGGCTTCAATTTAAAGTCACCAGCTGCATTTGCTCCTAAAAAGAGAGTCAGACTTGCTTTTGAAGCTCTGGAAACAGGCATTGACTTTTTTTTTTTTTTTTTTTTTTTTTTTTTTGAGACAGGCTCTCACTGTATCACATCACTACACTCCAGCTCAGGGTCACCCAGGCTGGAGTACAGTGACATGATCATGGCTCACTGCAGCCTCAACCTCCCCAGGCTCAGGTGATTCTCCCACCTCAGCCTCCTGAGTAGCTACCTCCCATCACCATGCCTAGCTAATTTTTGTATTTTTTGCCATGTTGCCCAGGCTGCTCTCGAACTCTTGGGCTCAAGCTATCTGCCTGCCTCAGCCTCCCAAAATCCTGGAATGAGAGGTGTGAGCTACCATAAGTGGCTGACTTCTTTCTGGCTATGAAAATCCTAGATGGCATCTCCTTCCAATAGACGGATGTTTCATCTACATTGAAAAATCTGTGTTCAGAGTAGCCACCTTCATCAATATCTTGGTAGATCTTGCTGAAGCTTCCACATCAGCCCTTGCTGCTTCACCTTGCACTTTACGTTACGGAAATGGCATCCTTCCTTACATTTCATGAACCAACCTTTGTTAGCTTTAGAATTTTCTTCTGTAGCTTCCTCACCTTTCTCAGCCTTCATAGGATTAAAGAAAGTTAGGCTTTGGTTTAAGGGATTGTTCTTGCTTCTTCGATCTATCCAGACCACTAAAACTTTCTCCATAGCAGCAATCAGGCTGTTTTGCTTTCTTAACATTCATGTGTTCATTGGAGCAACACTTTTAATTTCCTTTAAGAACTTTTCCTCTGCATTCACAACTTGGCTGTTTGGCACAAGAGGTCTAGCTTTTGCCTATTTTGGTTTTTGACATATCTTGCTCACTAAGCTTAATCACTTCTATCTTTTCATTGAAAGTGAGAGACATGTGACCCTTCCTCTCACTTGAACACACAGAACCCTCTGCAGGGTTATTAATTGGCCTAATTTCAATATTGCTGCATCTCAGGGAATAGGGAAGTCCAAGGTAAGAGAGAGAGAGAGAGAGAGAGAGAGAGAGAGAGATGGGGAAACAGCCAGTCAGAAGAACAGTCAGAACACACACATTTATTAACTTCACCTTCTTATACGGGTACAGTTTGTGGCAACCAAAACAATAATAATAGTAACAGCAAAAGATCACTAATCACAAATCACCACACAGATAAAATCATGCAAAAGTCTGAAATAGTGTAAGAATTAACCAAATGTGAAAAACAGACATGAGGTGAGTACATGCTGTTGGAAAAACAGCATTGATATACTTGCAATATTTGCAAAAAGTAATAAAACGAAATGCAATAAAATGAGGTACACCTGTATTTTTGTGAACTGGACCCTATTCTATTTCTTCAAGAGTCATAGATTTTTTAATTGCTTTGCCAATAAGAGTAATAGATTTGTGATAATCAATTACTTTTGCTCAGCAAGTTGGTTTTTATGAATGCAGTCTATGGCCACACAAGAAAACAAAATTAATAGTGCTAATAGAGATCAAACAAGAAATTTTCTTCTAATTACCATCAGGTTCTAATTAACTGACTTAATTCAATACCACCATAACTACTACAATTATTTTCACTACTGATGATATAATAATAGTTAGATATTCTCTGCTAATAGAGATCAAGCAAGAAATTTTCTTCTAATTACCATCAGGTTCTAATTAACTGACTTAATTCAATATCATCATAACTACTACAATTATTTTCACTACTGATGATATAATAATAGATATTATCATGTCTTGTGACTCAGGACATTAAACCTTCACAGTTAAAAATCATTTTTAAAGTTTGCTGATTGATAGTACAGAACTTATGCCAGTTATGTCAACATAAGACAGAAATAAGTACGTGCATCTATATCTTTGTATTGCTTTGTGATAGAGCATTGTAGCTACCACAAAGCAGTATAAAGACAAGCTCTACATGAAATTAAGATAAAAATTTCATTCTACAAGATCAGTGGAACATAATAGAGAACCCGGAAATAAAGCCACATGTTTACGGCCAATTAATAATCAACAATGATACCAAGTACGTACACTGGGGAAAGAATTCCTTCTTTAATAAGTGGTGCTGGGAAAATTGGATATTCATATGCAGAATAATGTAACTGGACTCCTATCTCTCACCATATACAAAAATCAACTCAAGGTGAATTAAAGACTTAAATGTATGACCAGATGATATAAAACTACTAGAAAAAAACAAAGGGGAAACACTTGAGGACATTGGTTTAGGCAAAGATTTTATGGCTAAGACCTCAAAAGCATAGGTAAGTAAAACAAAAATAGACAAATGGAACTATGTTAAACTAAAAACTTCTGCACAGCAAAGGAAACAATCAACAGAGTGAGGAGACAAGATGTTGATTGGGAGAAAATATTTGCAAACTATTCATCTTACAAGGACCTAACATCTAGAATATACAAAGAACTCAATTCAACAATAAAAAAAGGTAATCTCATTAAAAAGTAGGCAAAGAATATGAATAGAAACTTTTTCAAAAGAAGACATACAAATGCCAACAGGTATATGAAAAAATGCTCAACATCACTAATCATCAGGGAAATGCAAATATAAACCACAATGAGATAGCATCTTACCCCAGTTAGCAGGGCTATTATTAAAAAGACAAAAAATTACACATGCTGGTAAGGATACAGAGAAAAGAGGATTCTATTGGTGGGAATGCAAATTGGTATAACCATTACAGAAACCAGTATGGAGATTCCTCAAAAAATTAAAATAGAACTATATGATCCAGCAATCCCACTACTGGGTATCTAACCAAAGGAAAAGAAATCAGTATATCAAGGACACCTTGCACTTACATGTTCATCACAACACCATTCACAATAGCAAAAACTGTAGAATCAATCTAAGTATCCATCTATGGACAAATGGATTAAAAAAATGTGGCGCGCGCACACACACACACACACACACACACACACACACACACACACACACAATGTATTACTATTTAGCCATTCAAAGGAATTAAACCACGTCATTTGCAGCAACATGGAGGGAATTGGAGTTCATCAGGTTAAGTAAAATAAATCAGACACAGAAAGACAACTTTTGCATGTTCTCACTCACATAAAAACTTGATCTCATGGAGATAGACACTAGAATATAGCAGAGGCTGGGAAGGGTGTGAGGGCGGAAAGGAAAAATAAAGAGAGGTTAGTGAATGAGTATAAACTTACAGTTAGATAGAAGAAATAAGTTCTAATGTTCAATAAGAGACTAGGGTGACTACAGTTAGCAACAATATGTTATATATTTCTAAGTAGCCAGAAGAGAGGACTTGAAAGGTTACCAACACATAGAAATAATAAATACTCAAGGTGACGGATACCCCAAATATCCTGACTTGATAATTACACATTCTATGCATGTAAAAATATTCACATGTACCCCATAAATATGTAAAATATTATGTATCAGTAAAAGAAAAAAATTTCATTCTGCAGAATTTTGGTAGCAAACAGCTTCATTTAAATCATGCATAAGGAAAATTTAAGAATACACACCTTAAATAAAGATATTTTATCATAAAAATGTCACAACATGTCATAGAATGAAAGTAATAGATATTCCCATAAAACTGAGAAAGGCATTCTGAAATATCATATTAGAGAAGTCATTCTTACTTCTCAGCTTTACATATGATTATTTTACACAGAAATTTAAAGATATATATAAATTATGTATTTACATAATGCATATATTTACATAAATATAAACTAGCAGTGCTTTTAATAAAACCGTAACTCTTATATGAAACTACTTAAATATTTCATCATGTAGTATTTTCATGGCCGGTATCAAAGTTTGCCTGAAACCATATATATGACAAATTTATATCTACCTTAAATACTCTGTAATTTTTAATTATTTTTCACTATTCAAGTATTTGAGTAATACAGAAATTTACTCATAAACATTCATTAAAATGTGATATGAACTTCTAAGAATCCAAACCAAAATTTACAAAAAATCATGCGGATATAAATTATAAATGTTTAAAATCAAGTTTTAAATTTCTTACTTATAACTAATCTGTCAATTGATTTCTTGGGAATTTTAAGAGTAGGTTCAGAAGGTACATTATCTTTATCTGCTGGAGTACATGAAAGAAATAAAATAATAACAATAAAGTTATCTATTCAACACTTTGCCAACAAGTCTTTTTTTTTTATTTCCATAATCATTCACAAATGAACAGCTCACATTAAATAAATCACTTGTATACTTAGTGAAAATAGTAGTTATGGCCAGGCGCGGTGGCTCATGCCTGTAATCCCAGCACTTTGGGAGGCTGAGGCGTGTGGATCACGTGGGGTCAGAGTTCGAGACCAGCCTGGCCAACATGGTGAAACCCCGTCTCTACTAAAAATACAAAAAATTAGACAGGCATGGTGGTGTGCGCCTGTTTTTCCAGCTACTCAGAAGGTTGAAGCAGGAGAGTTGCGTGAACCCAGGAAGCGGAGGTTGCAGTGAGCCGAGATCACGCCACTGCACTCTAGTTTGGGCAATAGAGACTCCATTTCAAAAAGAAAAAAGAAGACAGTAGTTATATTTGATTAATAACTTGAAATGGATGAATCTAGTTGTGTCACAAATGCTCATGATTTGTATCAATTAAGGGAATAACTCTTCTTTGAGTGGAAGGTAGTAAAATATTAACTAGAAAGCTAGATGATTATTAAAAAGAGAGTCTCACATTGACAATCAATTAGACTTTCCTAAACTAACCACTATGGCCATAATCTAGGGAATTTCAATTAGCAGTTAAGTTTTCCCACTGCTTGCTCCCACTGGCACAGAATAAAACATGTTTATGTATTGTTTTGAGCACACCAGAAGAGTACTGCCAGTACAATTTGAGTTATAATTATTTACTAATGATACCCTGTGAATGAGAAATTCACAAATATTCTTCATCTATTTCTCTAGTTTAACTAACTTCATTGTGAAAAGATCTCAGTAACAATCACCTAAAAATCTCAACGCAGTATTCTTTTGGTTTTATTCCTTATCAAAGTTTTATAAAAGAACAAAAATATAGTTCTTGGGAGACCAATGCCTCCCAAGACCTTATGTCATCCACTCCCAAAAATACATAATTAAAATTATCTTGAAAGTGCCTGTGTCCACATTTTAGAAACAAATAAGGTGTAGCTACAAAAAAACTGTACTACTCTTAACTTCACCATGTCACATAGTTTCAACGCAGATATTGGAAAACGGAAACGAGATGATTTCTTTTGTTTTGTTTTGTTTTGTTTTGTTGAGACAGAGTCTCACTATGTTGACCAGGCTGGTCTTGAACTCCTGGTGTCAAGCAATCCTTCCAACTCAGCCTCCCAAAGTGCTAGGATTATAGGCATGAGCTACCACACATGGCTGAGATAATTGATGTATTCTCTATTTGCCTCTAGAGAAATTAAACTAGTTCCCTTTGTAGGAAAACAGAATATAAAATGGAAATTTTGTTACAATAAGGAAAGGAAAGGAGAGAGCACTAGAGGCTAGAAGTTTTGGGTTGGGGGAAAGACCATTGTAAAGGGATAACTGGAGCTTATTAGATGTAATCTTCTAGCAACGACATGGACAACTGTTAGGATGAATGTGAAAATATTACAGCTTTACAAAACTGATACCTTATCCTCATACCTTATGAACAGCACCTCAAATCATTCTTTGAAAAGTCACTTCACAAAGCAACTTCTTCAGTTCCTTTCTAAATGTTTCTAAAAATTTAGTTAGGTAAAAATATATTTTTAGGTCTACAGTAATAAGAAAAACAATAAGAAAGCAGATAGCTTCAGATAATAATTCCAGAAAAGAAAGTTAACTTCTGATACAAGAACTCAATTTAGGATTTACTTTGGCACATATCTAAGTATAAGGCCACAATATATCAACAAAGAGAAAGCTTGAGCTAATCCTGGCTCTAATAACTAAAGTCCTCTGTATAGAATGTAATCCCTTTGTCAAGGTAGAAGACTGAAGAGAAGGGAAGTATGAGTTACACATTCTATTTTGGTAGATAAATAGTTCCTGGACCAAAAAAAACAAATTATTTAGCAATTCTGATATCACTACTAATTATCTAAATTCCTTCACTATTTAGCCACAGATGGCTAAAAGAAACTGTTACGGCCAAGATTTACTGCTTGAAGTGTATACATGTTTATTTGTAATCGTAACAATTTGCCTTTTTAACTGTTGTAGATATAAAATGTATGTACAGTCTTTATGGACAAAGACAAAAGTCTACTTCTAGGATCTTGGAACTAATTGTATTATAAATATTCAATGCTTGATGAAGGCCCTACCACCACCACCACCACCAACAGACACACACACAAACACACAAAAAGTGCTCCTCCCTCCCTTCAAATCAGATGTTAAGTATGAAAAACTTGGGAAAAGTAAGAACACTAAGGTTATACCTTATCTAAAGGACACATCCTACATTTAAAACTCCAACCCATAGAGGTAAAGGCAGAAAGAAACACAAAAAGGGCTCCAAACAAAGTGTTGCCCAAGTTTATTTAATTTAATAACTTACTGGGAAAAAATAGACAATCAGGCTAAACCTACTTTACAGGGAATTCTAACCCTTATTTAAATCTTCATGTTCTAAGAAGTACCACCACCATAGAAGACTAAAAAAGAAAGATGAGGAGGATATTCCATGAAACAGACCCAATAAAATCAGCAATAATGAAGCACTAAATGCAAGAGGAAATAAATTATTTTAAAAAAAAAAAACATCCAAGCCTCCACTGCTACGGAGGAGCAAAGATTGGGTGCCAATGGAGGAGGGGTAGAAAACCTACTGCCCGCATTCCTAGTCCTACATTGAAACAGGAAAGAGAAACCAACCACTGAGGAAAGGCAGGAAACCAACTCACACCTAGGGTCCTACACTGATGCAAAGCATAAGTCTAGGGGAGAGGCAGGAAACAGCCCTGTGCCCAAGATTCCCCACCTGCAACAAAACAAGACAAACTTCAGTTGCGAGTCTGGGGAGGGACAGAAAAGCCACCTGTACCCTGAAGTAACAGATACAAATTGTTGGCCTCTGGGAAAGAAGTAGGAACACTAAGAAAGCACCATCCTGATCCTCAGGCACACAGGTCCTCCTATGACTAACGTTGGAAAAGGAGAAGCAAGAAAAACCTTCTTCCCACCATAAGACTTATTCTAAGTAAAAAGCAAGGGCAATCTACTATAGGGGAGCAACACCAAGAGAGAAGCCCTCTGTGGCTCAGGCTTACAGAGCCTGTTGAAAACTAGAGGGTAGAACAAGAAAACCTAGAAAACTCCTTCCAGCACTCCAGGCCTCACACTAAAAGCAAGGTGGCAATAAATTGTGACTAGATGAATTTGAAGCCTGTGGTACATTGATAGGAACTGGAGCAACAAAAAACCAAAACCAAGATCAAAATACAGAATACTCAGCTCTTGACACTAATGGCCTAGCAGAAAAAGGCATGTAAATATTTCTGTGCATAAATATTATTTATCTCAGAATCTACTATTCTGTCATACAGAATGTCCAATATTCAAATAATAACTAAAACAAACAGGAAAACAAATGTATCATGAGGACACAAAACAGTCAACAGAATCAAACCCAAAGATAAGAGGAGGAGTTAAGAAAATACTATGATTAATAACTTAAAGGATCTAATGGAAAAGGTGGATAATATGTATGAACAGGTAGGGAATTTAAGAAGTGAAAATCATTTTTAAAAAGTGAATGAAAATACTAGATATAAAAATTGCAATATTAAAAAGAATTCCTTTGATGGCCTTATCAGCAGAATGGGCAAAATAGAAGAATAAGTGAACTTGAAGATGGGACAAGAGAAATTATCCTAACTTTTAAAACAAACTTTTTTAAAAAATTAAAAAGCACAAAATAGAGCATACAAGAGGTGTAAGTAAAAAAGATAATCAAAAGGTATAACATTGTAAGATTTAAGAGACTAATATCTTTTTTAAAAAAATTAGTCTAAAAGCCAGTATTATTACTAAGTTTTATAACTCACATTTTGTTTTCTACATAATTTAAGAAACTAACACATTTAAAAAAATAATTTATTAATAATCTTGGACACACAATATATAAAGATGTAATTCTGTGGTGCTGTCAACTAAAAGGGGTGAGGACAGAACTGTTTAAAAGCAGAGTTTCTGCATGTTACTGAAGTTAAGCTTGTATAAATTCAGAGTGCTACAACTTAGGATAATAAATGTAATCATCATAATGACAAAAGAATAGCTCAAGAATATACACAATAGAGGATAAGCAAAGAATTTCAATGTGGCACTAAAAAATAAACACAAAGAAAACAGTTATATAGGAAATAAGGGAGAAAAAGCTATAAGGCACATGTAAAACAAATAAAAAATGATGGAAGACCATCCTTATCAGTAATAACTTTAAATGTGGCTTAATTAAACCCTCCAATCAAAAGATAGAAATTGGTAGAATACATAAAAAATAAATAAAACCATGATCCAACTATATGTTATCTACAAGAAACTAACTTTGGATTCAAAATCACAAATAGGTTAAAAGTAAAAGAATGAAAAAGGCTATTCCATGCGAATAGTAACAAAAACAGAACAGAGGTAAATACTAATATGAGGCAAAACAGATTTTCAACTTTAAGTGTTCATAAGACAAAAGAACATAACATATTAGTTAAAATATTTACTTACCTAATAACAGACCATCAAAACATATGAACCAAAGGGAGAGTTTTACAATAATAGTTAAAGCCTTCAATACTCCCCTCTCAATAATAGATAGAAAAACTAGACAAAAGATAAATAAAACAGAGGACTTGAACAATAGAATAAACCAACTGGACTGAAAAAACATATATGGAACACTATACTCAACTACAAGAAAATACACTACACATTCCTCTAAAGTGCACATGGAACATTTTCCAGGACAGGCCATATTTTAGGCCATAATTTAAGTGTTAATAAATTTTTAAAAAATTGGTATCATACAAAGTATCTTCCCCAATCATAACAGGATGAGGTTAGCAACCAATAATGGAAGAAAAACTAGAAAATTCACAAATTTGTAGAAATCGTACAATACACTATTAAATAACCAATGTTTCAAAAAAAATCGCAAGGAAAATTAGAAAATAGTTGGAAATGAATAAAAACAAGAACAAGCCATACCAAAACGTATGGGACACAGCAAAAGAGTACTAAGAGGAAAATTTATAGCTATGAGTGCTAACATTAAAAAACAAGAAAAATCTGACCAAGCACAGTGTCTCACACCTGTAATCCCAGCACTTTGGGAGGCCAAGGTGGGCAGATCACTTGAAGTCAGGAGTTCGAGACCAGCCTGGCCAACGTGGTAAAACCCGGTCTCTACTAAAACTACAAAAAATTAGCCAGGAATGGTGGTGCACGCTTGTAAATTCCAGCTACTCAGGAGGCTGAAGCAGGAGAAGCACTTGAATATGGGAGGCGGAGGTTGCAGTTAGCTGAATCATGCCACTGCACTCTGGCGTGGGCAACAGAGCAGCAAGACTTTGTCTCAAAAAAAAAACAAACAAAACAAGAAAAGTCTTAAATCAACAATCTAACATTACACTTAAGGAACTAGAAAGAGAAGAACAAACTAAACCTAAAACTAGCAGAAAAAAGAAAATAATGAAGATTAAAGCAGAAATAAACAAAATAGAGAATAGAAAAAAGAGAAAAATAAATAAATTGAGGTGATTCTGTCAAAAAGATCAACAAAATTACCAGATCTTTAGCTAAACAGACTAAGAAAAAACGAGAGAAGACTTAAATTAGTAAAATCAGAAATGCTAAATAGACTAAGGAAAAAGGAGAGAAGACTTAAATTACTAAAATCAGAAATGAAAGTGGAGCCATTATTACCAATTCTAAAGAAATTAAAAGGATTATAGGATTATATGAGAGAACTATGAGCAAACTGGGTAACCTAGATGAAACATTTAAAGAAGAACTATCACCAATCCTTCTCAAATGTTTCTAAAAAAGTGAAGAGGAAGAAACACTCCCTAACTCATTCTATACTCTGTGTGATGGTTAATAGTGAATGTCAACTTGATTGGATGGAAGGATGCAAAGTATTGTTCCTGGGTGTGTCTGTGAGGGTGTTGCCAAAGGAGACTAACAAGAGTCAGTGAGCCGGGAGAGGCAGACGCATTCTCAATCTGGGTGGGCACCACCTAATCAGCTGCCAGTGTGGCTAGAATAAAGCAGGCAAAAGAAGGTGGAAAGAGCAGACTTGCTGAGTCTTCCAGACTTCATCTTTCTCCCATGCTGGATGCTTTCTGTCCTCAAACATTGGACTCCAAGTTCTTCGGCTTGTGGACTCTTGGACTTAAACCAGTGGTTTGCCAGGGGCACTCAAGCCTTCGGCCACAGACTGAAGGCTGCTCTGTCGGCTTCCCTACTTTTGAGATTTTGGGACTCGGACTGGCTTCCTCCCTTGCTCCTTAGCTTGCAGATGGTGTATAGTGGGGCTTCACCTTGTGATCGTGTGAGTCAATACTCCGTAATAAACTCCCCTTCATATATACATCTATCTATTAGTTCTGTCCCTCTAGAGAACCCTGACTATACATTCTGATATAAAAGCCAGACAGAGACTACAAGAAAACTAAAAGCCAGTATCTCAGATGAAGAGATGCAATCAACAACATACCAAGAAGATTTTACATCATGAGTACGTAAATTTATGCCTGGGATGCAAGGTTGGTTTAACAAATGCAAATCATGGTGTATATGTGCCACATTTTCTTAATCCGCTCTATCATTGTTGGACATTTGGCTTGGTTCCAAGTCTTTGCTATTGTGAATAGTGCCGCAATAAACATATGTGTGCATGTGTCTTTATAGCAGCATGATTTATAGTCCTTTGGGTATATACCCAGTAATGGGATGGCTGGGTCAAATGGTATTTCTACTTCTAGATCCCTGAGGAATCACCACACTGACTTCCACAATGGTTGAACTGGTTTACAGTCCCACCAACAGTGTAAAAGTGTTCCTATTTCTCCACATCCTCTCCAGCACCTGTTGTTTCCTGACTTTTTAATGATTGCCATTCTAATTGGTGTGAAATGGTATCTCATTGTGGTTTTGATTTGCATTTCTCTGATGACCAGTGATGGTGAGCATTTTTTCATGTGTTTTTTGGCTGCATAAACGTCTTCTTTTGAGAAGTGTCTGTTCATATCCTTTGCCCACTTTTTGATGGGGTTGTTTGTTTTTTCTTGCAAATTTGTTTGAGTTCATTGTAGATTCTGGATATTAGCTCTTTGCCAGATGAGTAGGTTGTGAAAATTTTCTCCCATTTTGTAGGTTGCCTGTTCACTCTGATGGTAGTTTCTTTTGCTGTGAAGAAGCTCTTTAGTTTAATTAGATCCCATTTGTCAATTTTGGCTTTTGTTGCCATTTTTTTTGGTGTTTTAGACATGAAGTCCTTGCCCATGCCTATGTCCTCAATGGTATTGCCTAGGTTTTCTTCTAGGGTTTTTATGGTTTTAGATCTAACGTTTAAGTCTTTAATCCATCTTGAATTAATTTTTGTATAAGGTGTAAGGAAGGGATCCAGTTTCAGCTTTCTACATATGGCTAGCCAGTTTTCCCAGCACCATTTATTAAATAGGGAATCCTTTCCCCATTGCTTGTTTTTCTCAGGTTTGTCAAAGATCAGATAGTTGTAGATAATGCAGCATTATTTCTGAGGGCTCTGTTCTGTTCCATTGATCTATATCTCTGTTTTGGTACCAGTGCCATGCCGTTTTGGTTACTGTAGCCTTGTAGTATAGTTTGAAGTCAGGTAGTGTGATGCCTCCAGCTTTGTTCTTTTGGCTTACAATTGACTCAGCGATGCGGGCTCTTTTTTGGTTCCATATGAACTTTAAAGTAAGTTTTTTCCAATTCTGTGAAGAAAGTCATTGGTAGCTTGATGGGGATGGCATTGAATCTATAAATTACCTTGGGCAGTATGGCCATTTTCACAATATTGATTCTTCCTACCCATGAGCATGGAATGTTCTTCCATTTGTTTGTATCCTCTTTTATTTCATTGAGCAGTGGTTTGTAGTTCTCCTTGAAGAGGTCCTTCACATCCCTTCTAAGTTGGATTCCTAGGTATTTTATTCTCTTTGAAGCAATTGTGAATGGGAGTTCACTCATGATTTGGCTCTCTGTTTGTCTGTTGTTGGTGTATAAGAATGCTTGTGATTTTTGTACCTTGATTTTGTATCCTGAGACTTTGCTGAAGTTGCTTATCAGCTTAAGGAGATTTTGGGCTGAGACGATGGGGTTTTCTAGATATACAATCATGTCATCTGCAAACAGGGACAATTTGACTTCCTCTTTTCCTAATTGAATGCCCTTTATTTCCTTCTCCTGCCTGATTGCCCTGGCCAGAACTTCCAACACTATGTTGAATAGGAGTGGTGAGAGAGGGCATCCCTGTCTTGTGCCAGTTTTCAAAGGGAATGCTTCCATTTTTTGTCCATTCTGTATGATATTGGCTATGGGTTTGTCATAGATAGCTCTTATTATTTTGAGATATGTCCCATCAATACCTAATTTATTGAGAGTTTCTAGCATGAAGCGTTGTTGAATTTTGTCAAAGGCTTTTCTGCATCTATTGAGATAATCATGTGGTTTTTGTCTTTGGTTCTGTTAATATGCTGGATTATGATTATTGATTTGTGTATGTTGAACCAGCCTTGCATCCCAGGGATGAAGCCCACTTGATCATGGTGGATAAGCTTTTTGATGTGCTGCTGGATTCGGTTTGCCAATATTTTATTGAGGATTTTTGCATCAATGTTCATCAAGGATATTGGTCTAAAATTCTCTTTTTTGGTTGTGTCTCTGCCCAGCTTTGGTATCAGGATGATGCTGGCCTCATACAATGAGTTAGGGAGGATTCCCTCTTTTTCTATTGATTGGAATAGTTTCAGAAGGAATGGTACCAGTTCCTCCTTGTACCTCTGGTAGAATTCAGCTGTGAATCCATCTGGTCCTGGACTCTTTTTGGTTGGTAAGCTATTGATTATTGCCACAATTTCAGAGCCTGTTATTGGTCTATTCAGAGATTCAACTTCTTCCTGGTTTAGTCTTGGGAGGGTGTGTGTGTCGAGGAATTTATCCATTTCTTCTAGATTTTCTAGTTTATTTGCATAGAGGTGTTTGTAGTATTCTCTGATGGTAGTTTGTATTTCTGTGGGATTGGTGGTGATATCCCCTTTATCATTTTTTATTGCATCTATTTGATTCTTCTCTCTTTTGTTCTTTATTAGTCTTGCTAGCGGTCTATCAATTTTGTGGATCCTTTCAAAAAACCAGCTCCTGGATACATTAATTTTTTGAAGGGTTTTTTGTGTCTCTATTTCCTGCAGTTCTGCTACACCATGGAATACTATGCAGCCATGAAAAATGATGAGTTCATGTCCTTTGTAGGGACATGGATGAAACTGGAAATCATCATTCTCAGTAAACTATCGCAAGGACAAAAACCAAACACCACATGTTCTCACTCACAGGTGGGAACAATGAGAACACATGGACACAGGAAGGGGAACATCACACTCTGGGGACTGTTGTGGGGTGGGGGGAGGGGGGAGGGATAGCATTAGGAGATATACCTAATGCTCAATGACGAGTTAATGGGTACAGCACACCAGCATGGCACATGTATGCATATGTAACTAACCTGCACATTGTGCACATGTACCCTAAAACTTAAAGCATAATAATAAAATAAAATAAAAACAAAAAACAAACAAAAACAAGAAAAAAAAACAGCTCTGATATGTAACAACAACAACAAAAAAAATGCAAATCAATGTTATACAACTCATCAATAGAATGAAAAATAAAAACCACATGATCATCTCAATATATATGCAGGGAAAGCATTTGACAAAGTTCAAAATCTTTTCATAACAACTGTCAACAAAATAAGTTTAGAATAAAATGTCCTGAACAAAATTGAGGTCATTTATGAAAGGCCTATGCCTAACATTATAATCAACAGAGGAAAAGTTTTCAGTTTTTGCCTGACCCCAAGACAAGGACGTCCACTTTCATCAATTACATTCAACATAGAATTGGAAGTATTATAAAGAGCAATTAGACAAGAAAAATAAAATACATCCAAATAGGAAATCAAGAAGTAAAATTATGCCTCTCTGCATATGACATGATCCTATATGTACAAAATCATAAAGATTAGACCAAAAAGTTAGAATTAGAAAATGAATTCAATAAAGTAGCAAGATAGAAAACAGACATGCAAAAATCAGCTATATTTCTTTATACTAATAGTGAAGTATCTGAAAAAAAAATCAAAACATTACATTAGCTTTTTTGTAATCAAAACAGACATGCAAAAATCAGCTATATTTCTTTATACTAATATTGATATATCTGAAAAAAATCAAAACATTACATTAGCCTTTAATGTAATGTAATCAAAACATTACATTAGCCTTTTTCAAAGGCTAATCAAAAGATTAATCAAAAAGATTAAGATACTTAAGAACAAATTTAACAAAGGAGGTCAAAGCTGTACACACTGAAAAATATGAAACACTGAAGACAACATAAATAAACGGCAACAAATCCCATGTCCGTAAGAATAGAGGAATATTGTTAAAATGTCCATACTACCAAAAGCAGTATACAGATTCAACAAAATCCCTATCAACATTCTCATGGCATTTTCAATACAAACAGAAAAAAATTATAAAGTTCACATGAAACCACAAAATACCCACAAAAAACAAAACAGCCTTGAAAAGGAAGAACAAAGTTGGAAACACCAAATTTGCTGATATCAGATAATATTACAAAGCTATAGTATGGTATTGACACAAAAACAAACATATACACATTGGAACAGAATAGGGAGCCCAGAAATAAACCCAAACATCTGCAGTCAACTAATTTTTGATAAGGGCATGAAAACATACAATGGAAAAAGGCTAATATTTTTAGTCAATGGCACTGAGAGAACTATACACATACAAGTGAATGAAACTGGCCCTTATCATACACCATATTAAAAAACATCAACTCAAAATGGACTAAAGACTTAAAAATAAAACCTGAAACCATAAAATTCTTAAGAGAAAACATAGTGAGAAAGATCCTTGATGTTAACTTTGGCAATGGTTTTCTGGATAAGACACCAAATACGCAACAAAACTGAAAATAAACAAATAGAGCTACATCAAACTAAAAAGCTCTAGACAACAAAGGAAATAAACAACAAAATGAAAAACCAACCTACACATTGGGAAAATATATTTGCAAACTATACAAACTATACATCCAATAAAGGGTTAATACCCAAATTATATAAAGAACTTGAATAGCTCAAAGGCAAACAAAACCAAATAACTCAACTTAAAAATGGGCAAAGGACCTGAATAGTCATTTCCCCAAAGATAACATATGAATGGCCAAAAGGTGTATGAAAAGCTGCTCAACATCACTAATCATCAAGAAAATACAAACAAAAACCAGAGTCTCTTAATAGCAGAATTGATTAAGCAGAAGAGTGAACTTGAATATAAGCTATTTGAAAATACAGTCAAAGAAAACAAAACAAAATTAACAATAAAAAACAATGAAGCATGCCTAAAAGATCTAGAAAATAGCCTCAAAAGTGCAAATCTAAGAGTTATGGGGCCTAAATAGGAGACAGAGAGAGAGATGAGGGTAGAACGTTTATTCATAAGGAGAATAACAGAACATTTCCCAAATCTAGAGAAATATATCAATATTCAACTATTCAAGTACAAGAAGGTTACAGAACACCAAGCAGATTCAACTCAAAAAAGAATACCTCAAAGCATTTAACACTCAAACTCCCAAAGGTCAAGGATAAAGAATTCTACAAGCAGAAAGACAAAATATACAAATAACATAGAATGGAGGTCCAATATGTCTGGCAGCGAACTCTTCAGTGGAAACCTTATAGGCCAGAAGAGACTGGCATGAAGGAAAAAGCTTTTGCCCTAGAATAGTATATCCGGTGAAAATGTTCTGCAAACATGAAGGAGAAACAAATAAAGACTTTCCCGGACAAACAAAAGCTGAAGGTTTTTATCAACACCAGACCTGTCTTACAAGAAATGCTAAAGGGGGTTCTTCAATTAGAAAGAAAAGAACATTAATGAGCAATATGAAGTCACCTGAAGGTACAAAATTCACTGGTAATGGTAAGTACACAGAAAAACACAGAATATTCCCACACTGTAATCATGGTAGATAAACTACTCTTAAGTAGGAAAACTAAAAGATAAATCAATTAAACATAATAACTACAACTTTTCAAGACGTAGTACAATAAGATATAAATAGAACAACAAAAAGTTAAAAAGCAAGGGGACAAAGTTAAAGTGTAGAGTTTTTACTAGTTTTGATTTTGCTTATTTGTTTGTTTGTTTGTTTATGCTATCAACCTTAAGTTGTCATCAGCTTAAAATAATGGGTTATAAGATAGTGTTTGCAAGCCTCAACAAAATACTAGCAAGCTGAATTCAACAACATGTTAAAAAGATCATTCACTCATCATGACCACATGTGATTTATCCCAGGAATACAAGGATGGTTCAACATATGCAAATCAATCAATATGATATATCATATCAACAGAGTGAGGACCAAACCATATGATCACTTCAACTGATGCTGAGTAAGCATTTAATAAAATTCAACATTCTTTCATGGTAAAAACCCTCAAAAACCTGGGTATAAAAGGAATTTACCTCAACATAATGAAAGCCATATATAACAGACCTGCAGCTAGTATACTGAATGGGGGAAAACTGAAAGTCTTTCTTCTAAGATCTGGAATACAGCAAGAATGCCCACTATCACCACTGCTATTCAACACAGAACTGGCAGTCCTAGCTAGAGCAATCAGACAGGAGAAAGAAATAAAGGACATCCAAAGCAGAAAGGAGTAAGTCAAATTATTTTTGTTTACAGATGATATGATCTTATATTTGGAAAAACCTAAAGACTTCACAAAAAAACTATTAGAACTGATAAACAAATTGAGTAAAGTTGCAGAATACAAAATCAGCACACAAAAATCAGCAGCATTTCTATATGCCAAGAGTGAACAATCTAAAAAAGAAATCAAGAAAGTAATCCCATTTACAATAGCTAGAATAAAATACCTAGGAATTAACCAAATAAGTGAAAGATCTCTACTATGAAAACTATAAAATACTGACGCAAAAAATTGAAGAGGACACACACACACAAAAGATATTCCATGTTCATGGATTGGAAGAATCAATAATGTTAAAATGGCCATAGTACCCAAAGCAATCTACAGATTAAATGCAATCTCTATCAAAATACCAATGACATTCTTCACAGAAATTAAAAAATTCCTAAAATTTATATGGAATCACAAAAGACCCAGAATAGCCAAAGCTATCTTTAAAGAAACTTTAAAGATATAAAACTTCAGGAATTATATTACCTGACTTCAAATACTACAGAGCTATAGTAACTAAAATAGCATGGTACTGGCATAAAAATGGACACAGAGACCAATGGAACAAAATAGAGAATCTCAAAACAAATCCATGCATCTACAGTGAACTCATTTTTGACAAAAGTGCCAAGACCATACATTTGGGAAAAGAAAATCTCTTCAAAATATGGTACTGGGAAAACTGGATATCCATATGCATAAGAATGAAACTAGACCCCTAACTCTCACCACATACAAAAATCAAATCAGGATGAAACACTTAAATCTAAGACCTCAAACTATTTAACCTACTAAAATTAAACATTGGGGAAACGCTCCAGGATATTGGAGTGGGCAAAGATTTTTGAGGAACACCCCCACAAGCACAGGCAACTAAAGCAAAAATAGGTAAGTAGGACCACATCAAGTTAAAAAGCTTCTGCAAAGCGAAGAAATCGATGAACAAAGAGACAACCTATAGAATGGGAGAAAATATTTTCAAACTACCCATCTGACAAGGCATTATTAACCAGAATATGTAAGGAACTCAAACAACTCAACAGGAAAAAATGTAATAATCCAACTTAAAAATGGGCAAAAGATTTGAACATACATTTCTCAAAGGAAGATATACAAATGGCAAACAGTCATATGTAAAAATGCTCAACATCACCAGTAATCATCAGAGAAATGCAAATCAAAACTACAATGAGATAGAATCTCATCCCAGTTTAAATGGCTTTTATCCAAAGACAAGCAGTAACGAGTACTGGAGAGGATGTGGAAAAAAGAAAATCTTGTACACTGTTGGTGGATATGTAAATTAGTACAACCAGTATGGAGAACAGTTTCGAGGTTTGTCAAAAAACAAAAATAGAGCTACTATATGATCCAGCAATCCCACTGCTGGGTATATACCCAAAAGAAAGGGAATTAGTATTTCAAAATGACATCTGCACTCCCATGTTTGTTACAGGACTGTTCACAATAGCCAAGATTTGGAAGCAATCTACATGTCCATCAACAGATGACTGAATAAAGAAAATGTGGTACATATACACAGTGGAGTATTATTCAGCCATAAAAAAGGTATGCGATCCTGTCATTTGAAACAACATACATGGAACTGGTGGTCATTATGTTAAGTGAAATAAGCCAGGCACAGAAAGACAAACTTAGCATGTTCCCACTTATTTGTGGAAGCTAAAAATTGAACTGATAGGGAGTAGAAGGAAGGTCACCAGAGGTTGTGAAGGGTAGTGAGGAGGTGGGAGAGGATGTGGGGATGGTTAATGGGTAGAAAAAAAAATAGTTAGAATGAATAGGAACCAGTTTTTGGTTTTGTTTTGTTTGTTTTTGTTTTTGTCACCCAGGCTAGAGTGCAGTGGCACAATCTTGGCTCACTGCAACCTCTGCCTCCCAGGTTCAAGTGATTCTCCTGCCTCAGCCTCCCAAGTAGCTGTGATTAAAGGTGCATACCACCATACCCAGCTATTATTTTGTATTTTTAGTAGAGTCGGGGTTTCATCATGTTGGCCAGGCTTGCCTCAAACTCCTGACCTCAAGTGATCTGCCCACCTCAGCCTCCCAAAGAGCTGGGATTACAGGCATGAGCCACTGCGCCTGGCCAAGAACTAGTATTTGATAGAACAACAGGGTGACTATAGTCAATCATAATTTAATTGTACATTCGAAAATAACTAAAATAATATAATTGGATTCTTTGTAACACAAAGAATAAATGTTGAGGTAATGGATATACCATCTACCTTAATGTGATTATTACACATTACATGCTTGTATCAAAATATCTCCCATAGCCCACTGTATATATACCTACTATGTGCCCACAAAAATTAATACTTAAAAAAATCTTCTCTATCTTAAATATATATAATTTTTCTTTTTTAATTATATCTTAATAAAGCTAGAAAACACTATGAGCCAATATCCTTTATGAACACTAATGCAAGAATCCCTGACAAAACACCAGCAAACTGAATTCAGTATATTAAAAGATGGGCCGGGCGCAGTGGTTCACACTTGTAATCCCAGCACTTTTGGGGGGCCAAGGTGGGCAGATCACTTGAGGCCAGGAGTTCGAGACCAGCCTGGCCAACATGGTGAAACCCTGTCTCTACAAAAAATACAATAATTAGCCAGGCATGGTGGTGCATGCCTGCAGCCTCAGCTACTCGGGAGGCTGAGGCATGAGAATCACTTGAACCCAGGAGGCAGAGGTTGCAGTGAGCCAAGATTGCACCACTGCACTCCAGCCTGGGTGACAAAGTGAGACTCTGTCTCAAGAAAAAAATAATAATAATTCAACATTCTAGGAACAGAAGAAAGCTACCCGGACATAAGAAAATCTGTATATGAAAAATTTTGACAAAATTATTGGAAAATGCAAAACCTAGTAACAGAGGAGTACTATTTTAAACACGTGAACTTCACGGACATTAAAAGTAAAGATTTTGAAGTAAATTTATTTTAAAGATACACGATTCTGGCTCTTTGTAAGAGATAAGAAATAAATGTCTACATCATGTATAACTTTTTACATTATAAAACGCAATATTGTCTATCTCTTCAAACTTCAATTTTAGCATTTAAGACAATTGTTTAATAAATCTGTTATCTCAAAGGGGGTTTTAGGTTGTTTTACATCCTGTTGGCTTCATGCTTGCAGGCTGTAGGACTTTAAGAGAATAAAGAACTGAATAAAATTTAGCCTTAAGATATTAAATATCATTTAAATGTAACTTTACCTTGGAGCCTTGATGTTCACATGTAAAATATTATGCAACATGTTCCAGATTTTGGTTTTGTTTTTGAAGATGCATGTAGGTTTTATTATTTGTTTCATCTTTCTTGTTTTTGTTCTTGGGGTCTCTGACTTTTTCTATTGCTTTTTAGTTTCTTGGACTCGATTTACCCACTTTTTTTTCACAGTATATTCTTTCCACTATTTTCTTTTGTTAAGCAACAACAGTTTCTGGATCAGCCTTTCATTCAATAGTTCACATTTTAAAATCAGACCAAGAAATGATTTGCTCCATCTAGCAACATCTGTGCCTGCGCTTTTCAAGTATACAAATACCCACTTGCTCCCATGAGAGAGACTATAACCATCTCTCCATCCCTCACAAAAGCCAGGATCCCAGGTTCATTTCCAGAATGGATATATATAATATGACTGTTGAACCACAGGGCCAGCCTTACATTATACCTTTCAACAAAATATATTTCATGGCTCATGGCTCATAAATGTAGTTTCACTGTAGACAGTGCACAATGAGTAAATCTACCCTTTTTCATGGCAAGGAGCCCAATTCATATTTTTATTGGCTTACTACTAACTAAATTAAGCCCCAATTTCTTTAAAAAAGAAAAAAACACTCATGACTGAAAATAAACGCCATTTCAATATGGCTGCCAAGGACAGACTTCTAAAAGAACGAATGTATTCCAGGCTCAATCTCAAGAGACCTAACAAGTCCACAGAAAAATTAATGTACTAAATAAAACAATTTGGTATTGAGTACTGTTCATTTTTCACAAAACAGTAAAGTTCTATAAACTGAAAATCTAAGAATGTTAACATGTCAGTTAAGAACAGCAATAAGTCCCACATATCAGCTCCTCAATGTAAAGTTCTTTAGGACACATACCCAAGTCTTCCTAGCATCTCAAGCTCAGGAACATGTGGTCCATATGTCTCTATCTGCAGTGGCTGGTATTCATACAGAGCTTCTTCAAGCTTGTGAATAGGTGCCAGTGAAATATGTTGACCCTGTTAGAAAAATGAAGGAACTTAATACCTCTTATTATTATTTTCATATTGCTACTTATTTATAATCATTTTAAAGATGAATTAAATTCCTCACATTAGAAGTATTAGCCATTAGTTGTGCTGTTCCATGGGTACAATGCATTGCAGCATAACCAAAACCCACATAATAGAATTAATAGTCATTTACACATGATTTAAAAGAGGAAAACCAAATCCATCATTAAATTCAGATTTAGCGTTAAACAGTATAGTTGTTCAATGTCCATGGTAGAAGTCATCAAATACAAGAGACTTCAAAAAGTTTATGAAAAATACATATTATTTAAAAACTATGCATGGATTTTAAAAACATTTGCACCAAAACAAACTTGTATTAACTTGTTATAACATGTCTGAACAGCACCTAGTTGGAAGCACAAAGAAGCATAAGACCATTTGAAAAAAGCTCCTATCAGAGCAATGTGAATTCTACTAAATTGAAAAAAGAACAAACATCTATGGTGAAGACTGGATGGAAGAATGGCAAAATCATTACAAAAAGTTTATGGGGACAATGCCCCAAAGAAATCAGCAGTTTACAAATGGATAACTCATTTTGAGAAGGAGCAAGAAAATGTTGAAGATGAAGCCCTCAGTGGCAGACCATCTGCATCAATTTGTGAGGAAAAAAAAAAAAACTTGTTCATGCCCTAATTGAAAAGGACTGATGATTAACAGCAGAAACAATAGGCAACACCATAGACATCTCAGCTGGTTCAGCTTACACAATTCTGACTGAAAAATTAAAGTTGGGCAAACTTTCCACTCAATGGGTGCCAAAACTGTTGCACCCAGATCAGCTGCAGACAAGAGCAGTGCATTCAGTGGAAATTTTAAGCAACTGTGATCAAGATCCTGAAGCCTTTCTTCAAAGAACAGGAGATGAAACATGCCTTTACCAGTACTGAAGACAAAAACAATCAAAGCAATGTCTACTAAGAGGTGGAAGTAGTCCAGTCAAAGCAAAAGTGGACTGGTTACAAGTAAAGGTCATAGCAACAATTCAAAAAATTCACAATTCAAAATACTCATGGCATTTTGCTTATTGAGTTTCTGGAGGGCCAAAATACAATACCATCTGCTTATTATTATGAGAAAGTTAGCTAAAGCTTTAGCAGAAAAATACCTAGGAAAGCTTCACCAGAGTCCTTTCCCCACCACAACAATGCTCCTGCTCATTTCCTCTCAACAAACAAGGGCAATTTTGCAAGAGTTTCCATGGGAAATCATTAGGTATCCACCTTACAGTCCTGACTTGGCTCCTTCTTACTTCTTTTTGTTTCCTAACCTCAAAAAATTTGTAAAAGGAACCCATTTTTCTTCAGTAATAATAATAAAAAAAGATTTCGCTGACATAGTTAAATTCCTAGGACCCTCAGTTATTTAGGGATGAACTAAATGCCTGGTATCATTGCTTACAAAAGTGTCTTGTTCCTGATGGAGCTTATATTGAGAACTAAAGTTTATATTTTTTATATTTATCTTTTAATTCCATTTTCCACAAACTTTTTAAAGTTCCCTTGTGTACAAGCATAGTCTATCCTCACATTTTTCTATTTTTACTAAACAACTTTGACATTTTCGGTAATCAGTGTTTTTGTTTTTGTTTTTTTTGAAAGCTCAAATTAGGGAAGAAAGCTAATAAAATTATTCTCTGCAAAGTTGTGCCACATAAATATCTATTCTCTGAAGTCTTTACATGATATCAAACTAACTTACCAAATGTGTATTTATTTCACATCACACACACATATACAAATAAAATAAGAAAATTTTATGCTGAAAACTAAATTGGATGAAAACATCCACTCTATTTTTCTGAGAAGAAAGAACTACTGGATAACTAAAATACAAAGACCCTACAGATCATATTTGAGCAAAATAAAGTGCCACTCAGGTATATATCATTACATTGAGATTTACATATCTATCATCCACGTGGGCATAGAATTCTAATTTATAAAAATACCTACATTTTATATAGTCTGTGTTTGCTGATTTTAACCCTAGTTCTCTTGTTTTTCTTGGTATAGTTCTATCAATTTCTCTATTTCATAACTTTTTATAAACCATTCTTGCAGTTATTAATTCCTCCAATTTCTAGTTTATAAATTTTTTTGTTGCTACATCCCTTAGTTTCCTTTTTCCCCTAAATTACTAAGTTGGATGCACAGTACACATTATCTATTTTATTATTTTAAAAAAGGTAAAAGTCATGACTTAAAAGTCATAAAATACAATTGTAGCAGTGAGAAACAACCATCGAAGATCCTTGCATCTGGATTACAGTTTCTCTCTTCAACAAGTTCAATAGTATGTAGCATCATCCTAGCTAGTTTACAGGCACGTTGTAATAGGCACCTCTGACACTGTAATGTCAAAAGTACTTCACCAAAAACAGGCGAAGGATTTGAACAGAGATTTCACCACATAAGATATACATATTGCCAATAGGTATATGAAAAGATGCTCAATATCACTAGTCATTAGGGCAATGCAAGTCAAAGCACAGTGAGATACCACTTCACACCCATGGCTATTTAAGATGGCTATTATTAAAAAGAAAAACAGAAAATGCTAAATGTTTGTGAAGATATAGAGAAACTGAACTCTTGTGCATTGCTAGTGGGAATGTAAAACGGTATAGCTGCTGTGGAAAACGGTATGGCACGTCCTCAAAAAATTAAAAACAGAATTACCACATGATCCAACAATTGGATGGATTCTGGGTATATACCCGAAAGTGAAAGCAGGGTCTCAAAGAAATATTTGTACACCAATGCATATTTACAGCAGCATTATTTTCAGTAGCAAAAATGTGGAAGCAACGCAGTGTCCATCAAGGAATAAATGAATAAACAATATGTGGTGTGTATATACACATAAATACAATAGAGTATTATTCAGTCTTTGAAAGGAAGGAAATTTTGACATATGACAACATGGATGGACCTGAAGATATTATGATAAATGAAATAAGCCAGGCATAAAAGGACAAAAAGTATATGACTCCACTAATAGAAGGTTCCAAAGTAGTCAAATTCATGGAGACAGAAAGTAGATCAGTGGTTACCATAGACTAGGAACATGGGAAAGAGCAGTTAGTGTTTCATGGGTACAGGTTGAGTTGAGGAAGATGAGAAATTTTTGGAAATGAACGGTGGTGATAGATGCAGAACAATTTGGATGTACTTAATGTCACAGAAATGTACAGTTAAAAGGGATTACATGAACTTTTATGTTACATGTATTTTACCACAATTTTTTTAAATGAGTTTTGGATATTCTAATTTCCTCATTTGCTTTGCTAGAATTAAAATACACAGGAAAAAGAGAAAAAAAGTGTAATGTCAGAAATTTCATTCATAGTATTTTAACCCCTAACCTCCATGTTCCACAGCCTTTCTAAATAAACATGAAACTGTTAAGCTAAATCTTATACTATCATAGAATAATCCAATTTCAGACCAATGATTCAGAGAGCATTGCATAGGTTAAGAAGACAGTGCCTGAGTGGGATATTTTGAGACTTGTTCTGACATCCCTATTTCAAAGTGTCTTCTTCATAAATTGTCAGACACTAAATTCTCCTGCCATTTGATAAAAAATGTCCAGCATTGGTGTCACATGTTTTAGCTATGGGGGTAAAAGGGAGGGGAGAGGAGTAAAAGAGAGGAGGGTAAGTGAGGGAAAGGAAAAATACTGTGACAATTAAAGAAGTACATTTACAGTCTCACCAACACTCCGTGTGCATTTCAGAAATTAGACAGCAAGGTCCAGAAAGGCTCACACAGAATGGGTATTTTCAAGAGCTGGATTACCTTCCAAGGAAGATAATACTTAAGGAAGACAAGCTTTCTTAAGTAATTGCACTGGAAAACAACATACTAAAACTAATCATTACCTAAACATTAGCAACAATACCCAAATTACTAAAGTTATGATGTCTTATAATTCAAAGTCTTCTCTGAAGTTTGTGGGGACATCATTTACAATAGCCAAAAAGGTCACTGAATAAGAATAGTTAACATTATTTATTCTGTGCTAGGCACTATGCTAAAGGGTTTTGTATGTATATCTCAGCATCCACAATAATTTCATGAAACGTTACTATTTAATAAAGTACGATTAAGTACTATTAATGGTACTTAATCATACTTTATGAATGAGGAAATGGGGGTTAGATATTGTGACTGAGCAAGATCATACTGTAGTTAATGGCAGTTTGATGATTAAAAGCCAAGTCTGTCAGATTGTAAAGCCTGTGCTTTTTTCCCCTAACACCTTCATTTTGTGGATATGGAAGCTATTATCCTCAAAATGTAAATTTTTCTAAGGTCACATAGAGTTAGATCTCTCAATTACTGCCCAGTGTGGGTTCCACACACTGCCTTTTAATATCCTATTTTTAAATAATATAATCATGGTTGTTCAATTTAAAAGTTTTAATGGCCGTAAGTAAATCCTAGGTGGTTTAAACCAATTTTTTATATAAATTCTAGTAGCTCAGGTACATAAAATACCATAGGCTCAAAAAGGAGTATTTTTTAAAACTATAACATTTAGAGAGAAATAAACATTACTCAGTGGTAGTTCTGTTTGCCATAAGTACGATAAGACAAAGTTCATAAATGACACACAAACTGCCCTTCCAACATTCCATCTATCTTTCCCTCGGAAAAAACTCATGAGATAGATGCCATGGTTCTCAAGCCTAAAGCTGGGGCAGAACTTAGAGAACAATGACTTACACTCATTGATATGTTTTTTAAATTTTTAAAATCACCAACAGAGCAGATAATGGCTTAACAGGTCACATGAGAAAGTATTAAGGGTTTTAAGTGACTGGGAGGAAAAGGGTGTTTAAAAGTTTTTTAGATGAAAAGTGCTTATTGGTGATATTTCCACCCAAACAGTAAGGGTGATAGATATTATTCTAAATTATCAGAAAAAGGAGGATTCAAATTAAAGAACTCAAAGTGCATGATATACTAATTATAAGTTATATTTGAATTAAATTTGGTTGGGTGCCAAATGGTATGGTATAGACTTAAGTGCTATAGAGTATTGAGAGGAAGAATCAATAAAAGATGGAAGAATGAAAAAGACAGAACAGAAAAAAAGATAGAATATCAAGGGGGAGAAAAAGATAGAATAGGAAGAAAAAGAATATTGAGAGGAAGAATATTGAGAGGAAGAATCAATAAAAGATGGAAGAATGAAACAGTGCAACTTGTGCCAGACCTCAGAGGACAAAGTCTACAAAAGCAAGGCAATGGGGAGGACAGCGATATTACCAGAGCAGTATGTTGTGTCCTGAGACAATAAGTAAACCTGAGCAGAGACAGGAATATGGAGAAAGAAGGGTGGGCAGAGAATGAATCAGTATAGATAGCTTAAATTACAGCTAGAAAATACTCCAAGGCTAATTTGAACTCAAATGGGTAAGAAATCAGAACTGTCAAAACAATGTCAGAATGTTTTATCTCCAGCATATTACTAAATAAATGATAAATAAATAATGTTTAATATGAAAAGAGAGCGTGAATACACTGCTGGTAAGAGAGCAAATTATGGAATTGCTTTCTGGATGAAAAGCAATTTAGTAAACCTTTAAAATCTTCACATATTTTGACCTAGTAATACCATCTGTAATAATTTATAAGAAAGCAATGAGAAATATAATCAAATTCTTATTCATGTCTGTTCATCACAGTTTATATTGTCAAAAACTAAAAGGAAACTAAATGTTCAATCAATAAGTAAACATCAGTTTAAGTAAACATCAGTTCAATTATAACATAAAACAGTGTGCAGCCATTTAAAATCATGTTTAAAGAGAAATTAGTAAAATGTTAAGTACATGATCATTATGCTCTAAACTATTTTTAAAATCTGCCTAAGAGCCAGGCACAGTGGCTTATGCCTGTAGTCTTAACATTTTGAAAGATCAAGGTGGGATGATAGTTTGAGCCCAGGTGCTTGAGACCAGCCTGGGCAACATAGTGAGCCATCTCTACAAAAAAAAAAAAAAAAAAATTAGCCAGGCATGGTGGTGTTCACCTGTAGTCCCAGCTCCTCAGGAGGCTGAAGCAGGAGGATCACTTGAGCCCAGGAGATCAAGGCTGCAGTGAGCTGTGATTGTGCCACTGTACTCCAGCATGAGTGTCAGAGCAAGATCTTGTCTCAAATAAAACATAATAAAATAAAGTAAATCTGCAACTGCAAAAGAAAACTAAAGAAAAACTATCCCTAGGTGATGAAATTATTTATCTTTGTTGCACTATTTTCTGAATTGTCCAAAATGGGTATAAAATGGGTATGTTTTATATTTATGGCTATAAAAAAACTACTATTGAACAATGCCACAGAGAAAAAATCAGAAAAAAACATACTGCAAGACAAGTGGCCTGGTTTCTTCAGTAGGTCAATGTCACGAGAAACAACAACAATAAAGATGACAAAGTATAAAGTGGATGGGAGCTATTCAAGATTAAGACAGAATTAAGATGTTTAATAAACATAGTGAGAGTCACTGGCTCAGTACTAATTTGGAAGGGAAAAAACAGCCATGAAACATTTTGGCAACAATTGGGGAAATCTGAATATAGACTGGGTATTAAGCTATATTAGAGAATTTCTGTTAATTGTTCGGTGTGATTATGGCATTATGGTTATGTATGAGAATGTCCTATGCAGGAAAAGGTCAGTGAGAGATGCCAGATGAAGAATTTAAAAGTAAAATTTCATGGAAATTGTAATTTACTTTAGAACGGTTCAGGGGAAAAAAAGTGCATATATATATGTGTGTGTGTGTGTGTGTGTGTGTGTGTGTGTGTATGTGTGTGTGATGTAATACCAAAATATTACAGATTATTGAATCTAGGTATTAGGCATGTGAGTATTCATTGTCTTATTTTCCAACTTTGCTATTTTTGAAATTTTTCATTATAAAATGTTTAAAATAGATCATGGAATATTTGTTAGTTTTGAAAAAAAAAATGGCTATGTATTTACAGCAAAGAAAAATATAATAGCACCAAAGAAAGAAGAGCCTAGAATCAAGTAGGTCAAGTCGGTAGCTATTTTAGTGATTAAGGTTAAAGTAATATGGTCTAGATCTGAGTAATAATGGGGGGGAAGAGAAAAAAGAATAATAATTATAATTAAAACTGCAAGAATCGGTAGCAATCTGCTATAGCTGAGGTGGGAAGCAAAATGTGAAAACCAGAGAGAGCTGATTAACAGAGGCAGGAAAACTAGGAAAGGGAAAGGTGGAAGAGTAATGTAGGATGGATGCATGTCCCTTCCAAATTTCATGTTGAAATGTAATCCTCATGTTGAAGGTGAGGCCTAGTGGGAGGTGTTTGGGTCATGGGACTGGAGCCTTCATGAATGGCTTTGTGTCCTTCCTTAGCAATAAGCAAATTCTCTATTAGTTCACGTGAGAGCTGGTTTTTAAGAGGTACTTCCTTCTCTCTTGCTCCCTCTCTTGCCACGTGTGCCTGCTCCCCCTGTGCCATCCACCATGAGTAAAAGCTTCCTCATACAGCCTGCAGAACCATGAGCCAAATAAACATCTTTCCTTAATGAATTATCCAGTCTCAGGTATTCCTTCATAGCAATGCAAAACATACTAATAAAAAGAGAAAATTTTAAAAAGACAAAATGCAGACCAGAAGAAAATACTTGCAAGCCACATATTTTATAATTCGATCAAATTCAGAATACTACCTATAAAGAATTCTTAGAGACTGGGTGCAGTGGCTCAAGCCTGTAATCCCAGCACTTTGGGAGGCCGAGGCGGGTGGATCACCTGAGGTCAGGAGTTCAAGACCAGCCTGGCCGACATGGTGAAACCCCATCTCTACTAAAAATAAAAAAATTAGCTGGGCGTGGTAGCCGGCGCCTGTAATCCCAGCTACTCGGGAGGCTGAGGCAGGAGAATTGCTTGAACCTGGGAGACAGAGGTTACAATGAGCCGAGATCGCACCATTGCACTCCATCCTGGGCAACAAGAGTGAAACTCTGTGTCAAAAAAAAAAAAATCCTAGAATTGACTAATAAAAAGACAAAATGACCCAATTAAAAGTGGCAAAAGATTTTAAAAGACCAGATGGCTAATAAGAACATGAAAAGATGCTCAACATCAATAATATTCAGAAAAATGCACACTAAATGCACACTCACTTGAATGACAACAACCAAACTGACAGACAATAAAAAGTGTTAGTGCAGAGGTGAAGAAACTGGAACCCATGGACACTGCAGATGAGAGTATACAATGATGCAGCCACTTTGAAAATTAGTTCAGTAGTTTTTCTTAAAGTGACAAGTAAATTTACTTTATGACTTAGTTAATTCCACTTATAAGTATCTACCCAGGAGAAATGAAAACATATGACCACACAAAGACTTGTACATGAATGTTCATAGCAGCTATTAATAGCAGCCAAATAGTGGAAACAATCTAAATGTCCACCAATTGTGAATGGATAAATAAAATGGGGTGGTACATTCATATAGTATGAATATGAATTCCTTTATTAAACATTCACACAATATGCTGAATTTTATTACTATTCAACAATAAAAATGAATGAAATATTGGTACATGCTACAACATGGATGAACATCAAAAACGTTATGCTACAAGAAGCCAGATGTGAAGGACCAATATATTACATGATTCCACTTCTAGGAAATGTCCAGAAAGGGCAAAATTACAGAGACAGAAAGTAGATTAACAATTGCTGTGGGCTAGAAGTGTGAATGTGTTGTGTCTGCAAATGAGTATCAGAGACCTCTTTGGAGTGATGAAAACATCCTAAAATTGGATTACTGAAATGGTTACAAAATTCTGTAAATTTACTAACAATCAATACATTGTATATTTTAAATAAGTAATTCTTATGGTAAGTAAATTATATCTTGATAAAGCTATTAAAAATAAAGAGTTTAAGATGGTGGTTTAAATCAATCCACCATTGCTGCCTATAAAATATCCAAGTAGAAATGTTCAGTAAAGGCAGCTAGAAATATAAAATAAACTCAAAAGAAATTTTGCTATCAGCATCAAAATGACAGGCAAGGTCACAAGAATAAGAAATGGGTGTGGGGGAATATATAAAGAGTGAGGTCTTAGCACTGAGTCTTGAAAAATACCATTAAGTAATTCAGGTACATTTTCCTGACTTTGAAAAGTACGGCACAAAACTAAAGCCCTTTCTGTTTTTGTTACTGTTGTCATATAATTGATAAAGAAATAAGGCTTTAAAAGTAAAAATGTAGTGAGAAGAACCACAGAAAACCATGCAACTTTAGGTAATACCCATACCTGGGGGGAAACGCATGCAAACTGTACATTCAGTAGTATATATAATTAGTGTTTTTATTCCTCTACAATGTAACAAAATGGAACCTGTTTCTTTTCTAAAATATAGCTTAGAGCCCTATATTTCCATCATTTGCTAGTCAAAAAATATAAGCTTATGAGAAAAAAGGTTTTCTAAAATTCAGCTCATTTCCATATAGAGCAACATAGGAACATTGGAAGAACAATGCAAATGCTGACACGGGTAGTTATACATGGCAGTATTTTTAATAATCTGTATTTTTAATAATCTGAAATGTATTATTTAACTTTTCTTAGAAAGTTTAAAAGCTACTACAAAAAATTGTTTATAATTTACTAAGATTTGTCTGTTAATCTATACACTACAAATATTATCATTATGCTTTCTCACCAAATAAAGAGCAGAGTATCTTTTGTGTTAACTCTAAACACATACTATGTTAAAATAGAAACACACATTTAGAATGCAACAAACCATTTAGAATAACACTATTAAAGAAAATACATTATTATTTAATGAAAATGGCAATAAAAATAATCAATTAGTATATAGATTGTTGAGATAAACAATAATAAAAATACTAAACATGAAAATCCAGTTCTATACCAATCAGTATATGGTTTTCTGTTAAGTACCATAGAAGAGGTTGTAATTACAAAGTGCTGACAATTTAGGCCGATAGGTTAAATGATTCTGCAAATCCTTTAACACAATTTTAAATTCAGAACTCTTTTAATTGATCTATCTTGCTTAATGACATTTATCCATCAAACTACCCTCATCTTCAACATATTTGCCAATAAGCCCTGTAAGCCTGTTAAACTCTGTGTAATTGTCTGTTTTGAATCTGTCTCCCATTAGAGTGTAAGGCCCTATGCTCATGCTCACTGTCATAGGTACCTCACTGAGCAGCTTGGCACCAAAAAGCTGCTCAATATTTTGTTGAATTAACGAATAATATAAAAATATAACAATATAGGCCAGGTGCAGTGGCTCACGCCTGTAATCCTAGCACTTTGGGAGGCCGAGGCAGGCGGATTGCTTGAGCTCAGCAGTTTGAGACCAGCCTGGGCAACATGGTGAAACCCCGTCTCTATTAAAATACCAAAAAAAAAAAAAAAATTAGCTGGGCATGGCAGTGTGTGCCTGTAGTCCCAATTACTCAGGCAGGAGAATTGCTTGAACCCGGGAGGTGGAGGTTGCAGTGAGCCGAGATCATGCCACTGCACTCCAGCCTGGCAACAGAGCGAGACTCCGTCTCAAAAAAAAAAAAAAAAATATATATATATATATATGTATAAAATAACACAATATAAAAAAGTTGTCATGTGATGTAATAGTATGAACACTAAGGCAACTGCAAGATGATCACGTTTCCATAAATTTTAAAATGCTCTTACTAAGCGTAAACAATTGGAATTTTGTTACATAGTCTTGTGTACTATGAGAGTACATAAGAAATAAATTTCTACCTTCTCTAGACTTTGATTATTTTTTTCTTTTCACTTATTCATTACAGTCAATGGATGCTTTTCATCCTAGGCTGTGAATGTGTTTTCCAGACATCTTAGTAGTTATTTTAACAAAATTTCAAATAACAAAACATTGTGCTTACTCTGTGGCATTCATCATCCATTCATACAACAAATATAACCACCTACTGAAAAGAACATCAGGAAACAAAACAGATCAAGCCCCTGCCCTCAGGGAGCTCATATCCTAGTAAATCACATTACAGTGAGACTGTGCATTCCACTTTTATTTCTTAGGGTCATTTAATTACAACAACAACAAAAAAGATGGTAGTGTTTGTTTCATGAACTGAGTCCTCTCACAATGTTAAATCTGTCAAATTCTACAGAATATGTTACCTTACTAAGTGGAATCAGAAACCAGAATATTTCATTCTGGTAGCTTTAAACTACTGTAATTCTAGTGACTATTTCCAAAGAAAGTATCTCCAAGCAGCCTTTTAGAAAATCAATTGAAGTAATTCTGAATGACTATTTCTGTTTTGGTAATGTTCTAATAATTTAAATATGTGTGGACATGTGTGCTGTGTATGCATGTATATACACATACATATATGTCTATTTGTACATATGTATATGGATGTGAATATATTTTCTAATAGTGTGTGTGCCTACACATATTTTTGCAATGGGATAGAGTACTTAAAGAATATACCTGGCACTGTCTATAAGCTGTTCATTCTGAGTAACATTTCTTTGGTAATTCAGTTGTTTTCAATTTATTTTAGAAGCAAGCAGAGAGATTTTTATACTATGCTGTTCTGGTCATTATAGGGTGATGTCAGCCTGTCATCACTGCAGCAGCTGCATGGTAATAACTTCCTGGTAGCACACAATTTCATGGCAAGTATAATTCATTTTTCCCCATATAAATGATTTTTCTCTAATTTCTTTCAAAATGTAAAGTAAACAGTAAAAAGACAAATGAGGGACAGGGCCTACAGGCTGAGATGTAACTATGTACTTCTCCTGGCACTGTCTCTAAACTAGAATGAACTGAGGTGCAACATTTAATTTCTCTATGTTTCATTTTCACCATGTGCAATGAGGAAGGGGGGAGTGTATAAGTGAGGAGACTGAAACAGTAAGTCTAACTTGCTATCATTTCATGACCACTAAGTGGAAATAAGCCACTGACTCACAATGTATCATAAAAATACATAAAATTTCCCTCAAATTTAATGTAAAGTAATTTGATTCTACATATACTAAAGAAACAGCCAGTAGAAAAAAATGCACAAGACTAAGACCCAGATTCCCAACTCTATTAGAATCATCAGACTACATTCTTTTTCTGAATGTATGTTTGGGAATAAGCAGAATATAACGGTAAAAAAGATACATATATGGTAGGCTCTTTTAAGCATTCTAATGGTGACATACTTGCACAAATCAGCCTTTAAGAGCACTCTTTGTCTTTTAAAATGTGATGCCTAATAGTTAGATTACCAATTTTCACAAAAATTTTCTTCTAAAACTGGCTTCTTCAAAATAAAAAAAGAGGTTTCATCCTGCAGACACAGCACCATATTTTTCTAGCTCTTCAGCAACGTTCAGTTCTACTCAAATACACATGATATGCTTGAAAACATCAAAGACAAATTTCTATAACTATCTAGCTAAGGGCTTAAGTTTCTTGCTCAACATTAGAAATAAAATGGCTCTAAATACATCTTCACTTGGCAAGCCAAGTCTCTGAAAATGTTTCTAGCAAATTAGCCCTGGAAACTCATCAAAATCTGTTTACTACAGTGAAATTCCTTAAAGATTTGTTAGCCAAATTCATTTGTAATCTCCTCCTTAAACACATACTCTAATTAGTGTTCCACACAGAAAAATGTCCTTTAATAATATTTCAACTCTAATTTTAGAATTCTTATTATATCAATATAAATTTTTCCTTAAGAACTTCAAAAATGAAAAGTAACCAATTTTGAAAAGGTTGGAAAAAAATTAGGAAATAGTATCTTCCATTAAAAGATCACTAGTAAAAGGTTAGTATCATTAAAGATCCTCAAATAATATATAATTACAACTAAACTCTGGATATTTAATAAGCATTCCTATAAATTCCTTGTATTGGCTTAGAACTAATAAGGCTCATATAGACACTAACTACAGTGATATATTTGTGGTCACATGCAATTACTTTTGAGAAAGGCATGAGTCTCAAAACTACAGGAGAACACAAAACATAAAAGGAACAGCATTGTCTCCCTCTGCTTTAAACTGTTTTGACTATAATTTCATTCGTACAAATTTTTCCCTCCCTGAAAAATGCAAAAATAAAAATAGGAAAGGAACTAAGCTAGTCATTTTCCCTCAGTTAGTTCCACATGTGAAACATTTGAGAAAGATCAAAGTGTTACCTAGAAGGGTCCTAAATTATATGACTGACTTAGTTCAACACAGCTATACTGTGACATGCACAAGGATTCCGTTCTAAAGTTAGATTAAGGCAAAAAAAAAAAAAAAAAAAGGTCAAAATAACCCCTCAAAAATCCCTCAAATTGCCTATAAAGTATACTGTACATTGTTCTGTGCATATTTTAATCTCTTTATGTAAATCTAACTCAGCTAGTTTCTCCTCTAGCATTGGAACAGATCACCTAAGTAGGTGGCTTACATTTGGCATCTATGCTGTTTCAAAATTTTTCTTTACCTTGGAGAAGAGAGGCATTTTTGCTACTTTTGTTGTTTTCAACTTTAGTTGAATTCAAGCAAATTAAATGCATGTACGATATGATTCTACTGAATATGACAAGCATTTGAATTTTCATTCAGCAGAGTTCATGGAAGAAATGAAATTTGGGAGAACCTCTGAAGGCTGAAACAGCCCTGAAATGGAGGGGAAGAAAGAGCGTTCCCAGTGAACGGAATTTCAATACCCAGAGGAGCTTCAGTACAGTGGTGAAAACAGAAGCCAGAATACAAAGAGGGAATGGAAGGAAGAAGAAACACTAGGCAAACATTATTTTCATTAACTTATAAGACAAATGAAAATAGGGAAATATGCCAGTAGCTTAAAGGAAAAGCAAAATACAAGAAAAATATTTTGTTTATTTTGTTTGTTTTTGTTGTTATAGGTTTTATTTTTTCCTTGGGCACTGATAAATGTGATACAATGTTGAAAAGTATTATTTTTACATTATTTCTCTGATGCTTGTCTTATTACCAAACTACCATTTGTTGCCAAGAGGACATAGTGTCCAGCAAACCATATCTGTTTCTATAAAAAGATCAGAAAAGAAAAACATCAAGGAGACTATCTGATTAGACAAAACCTGCCTCCTTTAAAAGAGTCTGCATTAATTTTAAGAAAAACAGTATTCGCAAGAAATTTTCTGTAAAAACTTTCAGGCATAGAGCATTTTAGCTCACTTTCTTTTACTAATTTCAAAAATAATTTCCAAGAATTCCTAACTTGGCACTATAAGTGAACTTTATCCAACAATGACAACTTATACATAAGTCCAAATTTCCTAATGTAATATAGAAATGGCTTTATATAAAATTATCTACAAATACTACTACTATTACATAAGCAAAACAAAAATACCATGTAAGATTAGTAGTCTTCTAAAGCAGAAATATTTTTCCGTGAAAAGATAGAAGTTTCTTTACGCCATTATAGAGACTGAATAATTTAAGAGACCACATTTTATTTAGATTTGACTCTTCTGTGCCTAGTACAGTAGTTGGTATGTATCAGGAATATTTGTTTCATGAATGAAGAAATGTTTTAAAATGATCCCTCTAATCATCTACCCTATCTCCAAAAAAACCTACATAACAAATGTCCTCGTTCTATTTGAGGTCATTTAACAACAGAAGGAGTAGTTGTTTTGCCATTCCCATTGTAGAAAATAAGTGAAGACCTAAGCCAGACTGTCACTGATTTTACCTTTCTTCTGTCCTAAAAAGAAACAACAAACACTATGAATACTCTAACCATCCCAATCTAACTTCCCCAAACCAAATGCACATACACACAAACACCACCACCACCGCTATCACACTCATAAAACCACCATGCAATTAAATCTACTCTAAAATGCAGAAAAGAACAGAATATTTAAGACACTGACTTGATACCCTTCTCACCTGAAATTTCACATAAATTGTCTTTTATTAAAGTCAGGCAGATATGGAATGGATTACTAACAGTGCAATTGCACTAAAATGATACAGAAATATTTACTGAACATCTACTATGTGCCAAGCACTGTGTTAGGCATTACATACACATTTGAGGTAAGTATGTTTTACCTGTTTTACAGGAAAAGAAACTGAAGCTCTCCAAGACCAAGTAACCTACTCAGATTTTAAACCCTATCCTGCTAAAATCCACAAAGCACTTCTCTATTATAGAACTAAAATATGAAAATTTATTTATTAAACATTTGGTAGATGTTAGGCACTGTGAAGATATAGCAGAAAGTATACCACCACAACTGTCCCTATTTTCAAGCATTTAACAGTATCTATTTAAATTTTCATTTAAAATATATTATATTTATTAAACATTTTTAAATATAATGTGCTCATTTGTTTAAAAAAACATTAGTATATAAGTACTTTTTAAATGAAAGCTACTCTAGTTCATTAAAGCATATCAATTCATTTTTAGAAAATATTTACACTCAATTTTTCCATAACACATTCAGATTAAGGCAAATTTCATCTTTACTGAGATGTGCTACAACCTCATTAGATACTCACTTAGAAGTTGTCTTGTTTTTATAACAAGCAAAAATAATATTTTCTTCAAACAATATAAAATTGATGGCTTGTCTGTTAATGAATGTTAAACTGCATATCCTTTGAAATATGAACCAGTTTAGTAAAAAGGCTATTTCAACTAAGAAGAGTAATTCCTGGCAATGCAGAAGTAAATTGCCTTTCTAGAAAGCTGACTATACTAATCAATCCTTTAAATCACAGTTTATTGTACTTTAACAAATCACTCTTCATAATTAAGAGACATGTTTTATGAGACGAACTACAAAAACAATACAGCAAAATCACAATCCTTTATAAATTTTTCATCTGAGAACATAGGTGTGTGATCAGTGAGCATAGTGGTGGTCCCACAAATACAAGAATACACAGACTATCACATTTGTGTCCATTTTTTAAAATTAAAAAAATAACAATTTTATAGCCCTCCTTTCACTAATTAGTTAATTCATGGATAGGTATATTTAGTAAAACAATGCCCTAGAGGACAAAGAAAGCAGTTCATATGAGAGAGTTTAGTAAAACAGCTTTGGAGCCCTTCTGAAAATTACTTGATAAAAGTACTAACATTCCGTCAGTTGTTGAGACAGATGCTACTGCCAATCAGCTGCATTTGCTGAAGCACATTCTAAAGATTACTAATTAATCCCCACACTGAAACCAATGGTTGCCTGTCATTTTGCTATGATCACCATTTTTTAAAAAATAGTCACCAAAAAGAAACGAGAAAAGAGTCATGAAGTACAGCTCTAGATAAAATATAACCCCAGGTAAGCTATGCATCTACTTAGTTATATCTTTTCAGGTATTCTTTATATGAAACTCAATGCACTGGCTGGAGTCCTGGGATCTTACAGCCTCTCCACATTCTATTTCTCATTTATTTCTATTTATCACAAATGTATAAAAGTATTTTTGAGATATTTAGGAAAAAGAATCATACTGTATAAGACTGCATTTTCTTTGTTGTTGTTGTTGTTGTTGTTAAATTTCGAATCTTTCGATCACAAACTCAAGATAAATATGACTTGTAGAGACATTTTCCAGATTACACCCATATTTTTATTAAAACTCATCCACACTCCCCTGCCTTTACTCCCACCATGCACATATCCCTGCACACTTTGTTCTACCACCATCATATCCTACCTTCATTATGTGAACACTCTAAAGAATTTAACAAATATTAAAATAGTCAACGCTTCCAAATCTTGGCAATTATAAAATATCCTGAAGATCCTTAAAACTATACTAGCACAAGATGCCAAAGAAATTATTTTTAATCTGTATGAAAACATATTAACATATGTAGATAAAGATAAAAATATATTTGAAGGTTCTTATGATTTTCCATCTTTTTAATGTTTTAAGTTAACATTGATTTTTGAATCTCAAGTAACTCTATGATCTACCATGTTTCTAAAGTTGCTTTCATTCAACTGTACATGCCCTGACCTCCACAATGACCTCTACAAAAGCAGTTGTGCACTTTACTGTGGTGCAAATCCTCACGGACAAGTTGAACCTGTTCTTTTTGGCACTGAGCCCTTGTGCTGAACACACAGCTGAGATTTATTATAAAAGGGGAACTAAGGGGCATTATTTCACAACATTTATCCTTCACATACAGCCAAGTATAATCTTTTACAACCTTTGAGAGCTCTTAAATAAACAGATTTTCTCTTAATTGCACAAAGAGTTTTTTATTTGTCACCAATCGTATGGCATATTCAGATTTATTTTACATTAGGAAAAAGCTAGCACACAAAGCATATGTGCTAACAGTTATAAAAATTACTCTCCTTGCTTAATATTTATTTAAAAATCATAAGACTTTTAATCTTCAGATCTGAGGATAATTACTTGCCTTGCTGTCTTTAGCAAGAGCAAAGTAATAAAATAATTAGTAAAAACCTGCCTTCAAAGATCTGTATTTTAAACGGTAGGTTACAAAAAGCCCAACTTGCTACAACACTCTCATAGGTCTTTATTTTTATACTGTCTTGTGTTTTCTTTTTAATTTCAAAGTTCAATTGTAATTCGGGCATTCCCATAACATTTTAAAAACACTTCTCATTCTAACAACTTTGAACTGGACTCTGATATACAAGACTGCTGCCCAGCAACTTTCTCAACTCAACACATCTGATATCATGTGGGAGGGAGGAATTTCATGAGTTCTAAGAAATATCTCTAATAACAGGAATTACCACACCATTTAAGTTAATTCTTCAAGATTTGCTAATTGATCTAGCATCAAGACTTGCCTTGTTGAAAGCAAAAAAACAAATACAACCTCAAAAGTATTCTATCCTGAAAGTCAGGTTCAAACTAGCTTATCAGCTAATTGCTCAACATTAAGGACACTAAAATATGTTGATTCAGGTGAATATTTTCTTGCTCGAAATTCTTCTAATTTTTTCATTAATAGCAAGTGTACAGACAATTTTTAAGATGCCTGTAGACCTTTTCAAATTTTTTTAAAAAAATAATTCAATATTAAACTGATTTTTTTTAATGGTGAAAAAAACCTAATGACATGATTTTAGGCATTGGGAGCTCCACAGTGAGCAAAACAGGCATGTTCATACATAGTGCCAAATATGCTTTGTCTTCCCTTAACAAAGAAATTTCTTTCTTTAAACTTTAACATTTTGAACAACATAACCTTATTGTTCCAGTTCTAAGGAAGATGTTTTAAATAATTTATATCCTTAATACAGTCTCCCTATATCCAATGAATTCATGTAAATGTTCATGAGTTTGAACGTTTTTACATTTATTACTAAAACAGAAAACATTTTTTCTGGAAATATACAATCTTTTGGAAAAAAGCAATTACTTTTAAGTGTTTTTCAAGTGTTATATCTTCAAATAGATATAAATTAGCATGGAAATTACTAACCAACTATATTCATAATATTAATCTGCACTACATGAGACAAGATAAAAATTGATAATATCTATAAAAGATTCATTAAATATGTAAAAAAAAGCCTCAAGATCCTACACTATGTTCTCATATTATGTCAGCACTGGTGGTATTTTTTAAATGCCTAAGGCCTCTAACTCATTTTGAAATACATGTGCTTCAAGATTTCCATAATACCCAAAACTATTCTTGGTGAAGTAATGAGTTAACTACAGGTTAACCAACAAATAACTTAAAGAACAATCTTATTCTATATTTATTTTGTTTCTTCATACCACAACAGCTTTCCCATCTATATATCTTCTCACCAGCAAGAACACAAGCATATACACTATCAGCCTATGACTCCCCATATTAAATGTGCCCTTAGACCAACACAATGTTAAAAGCATGGGGCTTTAGAGTTCTGAACAGTCAAATCCTAGCTCTACCTTGAGCAAAAATAACTTTAAAAAAAAGTCTCAGCTGGGCATGGTGGCTCACGCCTGTAATCCCAGCACTTTGGAGGCTGAGGCGGGCGGATCACGAGGTCAGGAGATGGAGACCATCCTGGCTAACAAGGTCAAACCCCGTCTCTACTAAAAAACACAAAAAATTAGCCAGGTGTGGTGGTGGGTGCCTGTAGTCCCAGCTACTCAGAAGGCTGAGACAAGAGAATGGCGTGAACCTGGGATGGGGAGCTTGCAGTGAGCAGAGATCGCGCCACTGCACTCCAGCCTAGGCGACAGAGTAAGACTCTGTCTCAAAAAAAAAAAAAAAAGAAAAGAAAAAGAAAAAAGTCTCAGTTTTACTTGTAAAGAATTAAATAAATAAATTTAAAGGATATAAAAGAACTGTCTACAAAATGCTACCCACTATTATTACTTCATCATCATCATCAACAGGAAGAGAAGCAGGAAGAGAGGGAATATTTTGCACATCTCTACAGACTGTTGTTTAATATTACAAGATAAAATCACTAACTTCCAAAAGCCTGAAAGTTAGAACTCAAGGCATCTTCCTGCAGAAACAATGTTACAAATGATGTTACAGTTTAAGACTGACAATATACAAAACACATTAATTATCATAAATTTAGTCTCAGGCCCTGGGAACAATTCAGGAGAGAAAACTTGATCTTTCTTAAAGTTAAGCCTAGCCTTGGGCAAAAATTTAAAATTTCTTAAATTATAGCTTTTTCGCATTTTGTCTTTTGCATTCTTACCCAGCACTTAGTAACTTTCCCAGGCGTTATATATTCCCATAACATAGTATCAATAAGCTCTTAATTGAAAACACTCCACTCAAACCTACTATGAGTTTTAAGAGTGATGCCTGATCTTAAGTCACCAACCTACATATAACACAATCAAAACTTCCTGGTATCAGTAAGGTGTCAAGAGGAAAGAGACTGAACTGCATGATTTTACTCAGCAGACCTCTGGTTCTGATTATACTATTGCTTAAAAAAAATTGTGAAACTTTTTTTCTTGAACAAAATAAAAAACAGTAGTGCGTTTAAAGAAATGAGTTAAGAACCATTCACTTCTCATTTTTTGTCTTGATTAATGTTTTTAAATTTTTAGTAAGTGTCAACAGAGATTATCTGGGCCAATTTTTTTCATCTTCATATTTCCCAATGTAAAAATCTGATTCTCAAAAGTCACTAACATCTTTCACAATGACTCAAATTAGAGTAGCATGAGGAATTCCATGAGGACTTGGAAAGGCACAGAAAACCTGGGTAATGTGAATGTCTATAAATAATGAAATTCATGGAATCTCAGAAGTAGACATAATATTAAAGATCATCTCCAATCCTACCAACCACTGAATTTTTAAATCCCCATGCCAATATCCTTACCTATGGCTAGACATCTCAAGACCTACCAAGATAGTCCAAAGCACCAAAATAGGCAAGAGATATGCCTGGGTCTCCAAATAAATCCACTGAAGTATACACCTTACATGAATGACAGATGAAATATATGTGACAAGGACAAAATTCAATGTATCTATTAATGCACACAAACACAGTAATAATCTCACAAAAGCTTAACCAGAACTTTACTTCTCTACAGATTCCTTGTCCCTTAAGACTTTCTAGTATACACAATTCTTACGAAAGGCAGATATGGGCATACTTCGGAGATATTGCAGGTTCGGTTGTAGACCCTTGCCATAAAGTGAGTCACACACATTTTTTATTTCCTAATGCATGTAAAAGCTATGTTTATACTCTACTATAGTCTAGTAAGTGTGCAATAGCATTATGTCTAAAACACAGTGCACATATCTTAATGTAAAATACATTATTACTAAAAAATGTTAACCATTTGAACCTTCAGCAAATTGCATCTTTTTGCTGGTGGAAGGTCTTGTCTGGATGTTGATGGCTGCTGACTGATCAGGGTGGTGGTTGCTAAAGATTGGACTAGCTGTGGCAGTTTCTTAAAATGGCACAACAATGAAGTCTGCCACATTGATTTACTCTTCCTTTCATGAAAGAGTTCTCTGTAGCACATGATGCTGTTTGAAAGCATTTAACGCACAGAACTTCTTTCAAAATTGGAGTCAATTCTCTCAAATACTACCACTGCAGAGTGAACAGGCAACCTACAGAATGGGAGAAAAGTTATGCAATCTATCCATCTGACAAAGGGCTAATATCCAGAATCTACAAAGAACTTAAACAAATTTATAAAAAAAAAAAAAACCCCATCAAAAAGTGGGCAAAGGATAAGAACAGACACTTCTCAAAACAAGACATTTATGCAGCCAACAAACACATGAAAAAAAGCTCATCATCACTGGTCATTAGAGAAATGCAAATCAAAACCACAATGAGATACCATCTCATGCCAGTGAGAATGGCAATCATTAAAAAGTCAGGAAACAACAGATGCTGGAGAAGATGTGGAGAAATAGGAATGCTTTTACACTGTTGGTAGGAGTGTAAATTAGTTTAACCATTGTGGAAGACAGAGTGGTGATTCCTTTAGGATCTAGAACTAGAAATACCATTTGACCCAGCAATCCCATTACTGGGTATATACCAAAAGGATTATAAATCATGCTGCTATAAAGACACATGCACACGTATGTTTACTGAGGCACTATTCACAATAGCAAAGACTTGGAACCAACCCAAACATCCATCAATAATAGACTAGATAAAGAAAATGTGGCACATATACACCATGGAATACTATGCAGCCATAAAAAATGATGAGTTCATATCCTTTGCAGGGATGTAGATGAAGCTGGAAACCATCATTCTCAGCAAACTATCACAAGGACAGAAAACCAAACACCGCATGTTCTCACTCATAAGTGAGAGTTGAACAATGCGAACACATGGACACAGGGAGGGGAACATCACACACCGGGGCCTGTCAGGGGATGGGGGGCTGGGGGAGGGATAGCATTAGGAGAAATAACTAATGTAAATGACAAGTTGATGGGGACAGCAAACCAACATGGCACATGTATACCTATGTAACAAACCTGCACATTGTACAAATGTACCGCAGAACTTAAAGTATAATAATAAAAAAAAACTGCCACTGCTTTATCAACTAAGTTTATATAATATTCTAAACCCTTTGTTGTAATTTTAAAAATAATCAAAGCATCTTTACCATGAGTAGATTCTATCTCAAGAAACCACTTTCTTTGCTCATCCCTAGGAAGCAACTCCTCATCCATTCAAGTTTTATCATGAGATTGCAGCAATTCAGTTACACCATCAGGCTCTACTGCTAATTCTAGTTCTCTTATTGTTTCTACCACATCTGCAGTTACCTCTTCCGCTTAAGTCTTGAACTGCTCAAAGTCCTTCCATGGGGGTTGGAATTAACTTCTTCCGAAACTTCCAAAATATCAACTAGTAATGTTGACATTTTGAAAACAACCTTCATCTCCTCGTACATCTGTCAGAGCTCTTGAGTGATCAGATGCATTGTCAATGAACAGTAATATTTTGAAAGAAATCTTTTCTGAAGAGTAGGTCTCAACACTGGGCTTCAAATATTCAGCAAGCCATGCTGTAAGCAGATACGCTGTCACCTAGACTTGGTTGCGCCCATTTTAGAGCACAGGTGGAGTAAATTTAGCAAAATTCTTAAAGACCCTAGGATTTTCAAAATGGCAAATGAGGCCGGGCACAGTGGCTCATGCCTGTAATCTCAGCACTTTGGGAGGCCGAGGCGGGCGGATCACGAGGTGAGGAGTTCGAGACCAGCCTGGCCAATATGGTGAAACCCCATCTCTACTAAAATACAAAAAATTAGCTGGGCGTGGTGGTGAGCGCCTGTAGTCCCAGCTACTCAGGAGGCTGAGGCAGAGGAAACGCTTGAAACCAGGAGGCGGAGGTTGCCACGAGCTGAGATCGTGCCACTGCACTCCAGCCTGGTGACAGAGTGAGACTCCATCTCAAAAAAAAAAAAAAAAGCGAATGAGCACTGGCTTCAACTTAAAGTCACCAGCTGCATTAGCCTCTAAAAAGAGAGTCAGCAGCCTTGCCTTTTGAAACTTTGAAACCGGGCATTGACTTCTTCTCTTTAGCTACAAAAATCCTAGATGGCATCATCTTTCAGTAGAAGGATGTTTAATCTACACTGAAAAATATGTTGTTCCGGGTAGCAACTTTTATGTTATAGAAATGGCATCTTTCCTTAAATTCCATGAATTAACTTCTGCTAGCTTCAGACTTTTCTCCTGCAGCTTTCTCACCTCTCTCAGTCTTCATAGGACTGAAGAGAGTTAGGGATTACAACCTGGATTAGACTTTGACTTAAGGGAATATGGTATGACTGGTTTGCTCTTTTACCCAGACCACTGAAACTTTCTCCATATGAACAATGAGCATGTTTCATTTTCTTATCATTCATGTGTTCACTAGAGCAGCACTTTTAATTTCCTTCAAGAACGTTTCTTTTGGAGTAGCACTTTTAACTTTTCCTTTGCATTCACAATTTGTCTCAGTGTTCAGCACAAGAAGACTAGCTTTTGGCTATCTTGGCTTTCCACAAGCCTTCCTTAGGAAGCTTAATCGTTTCTAGCTTTTGATTTAAAGTCAGACATATGTGACTGTTCTCTTCACTTGAACACTTAGAGGACACTGTAGGGTTGTTAATTGGCCTATTTTAAATATTGTTGTGTCTAAAGGAATAGGGAGGCCTGAGGAGAAGGAGAGAGATGAGAGATGGGGCAATTGGTGGAGTAGAACACACGCAACATTTATCGATTAAGTTTCCTATCTTATATGGGTGTGGTTCCTGGCAGCCTAAAACAATTACAATGGTAACATCAAAGATCATTGATCATATTTCAGCACAACAGATATGATAATAATAAAAAAGTTGGGGGGAGGGGCCAAGATGGCTGAACAGGAACAGCTACAGTCTGCATCTCTCAGTGAGACCAACGCAGAAGGAAGGTAATTTCTGCATTTCCAACTGAGGTACCCAGTTCATCTCACTGGGACTGGTTAGGCAGTGGGTCCAACCCATGGAGGGTGAACAGAAGCAAGGGTGGGGCATCGCTCCACCCAGGAAGTGCAAGGAGCTGGGGGACCTCCCTCCCGCAGCCAAGGGAAGCTGTGAGAGACTGTGCTATCCAGCCCAGATACTACACTTTTCCCACGGTTTTTGCAATGTGCAAATCAGGAGATTCCTTCATGTGCCTACACCACCAGGGCCCTGGGTTTCAGACACAAAATGGGGCAGCTGTTTGAGCAGACAGACACCAACCTAGCTGCAGGAGGTTTTTTTTATAACCCAGTGGCACCTGGAACCCCACCAAGACAGAACCATTCACTCCCCTGGAAAGGGGGCTGAAGCCAGAGAGCCAAGTGGTCTCATTCAGCAAGTCCCACTCCCACAGAGCCTAGGAAGCTAAGAACCACTGGCTTGAAATTCTCGCTGCCAGCACAGCAGTGTGAAGTCAACCTAGGTCAGTCGAGCTTGGTGCGGGGAGAGGTATCTGCCATTACTGTGGCTTTAGTAGGTGGTTTTCCCTGACAGTGTTAAGGAGACTGGGAGGTCTGAACTGCGCAGAATTCACCACAGCACAGCAAAACAGCTGTGGCCAGACTGCTTCTCTACATTCCTCTTCACTGAGCAGGGCATATATGAAAGAAAGGTAACAGCCCAGTCAGGGGCTTACAGACAAAACCCCCGTCTCTCTGGGACAGAGCACCTGATGGAAGGGGTGACCATGGGCCCAGCTTCATCAGATTGAATTGTTCCTGCCTGCCAGCTCTGAAGAGGGCAGCTGATCCTGACAAGAGGAATTCTCCCAGCACAGTGCACCAGCTCTGCTAAGGGACAGACTGCCTGCTCAAGTGGGTCCCTGACCCCCGTGCCTCCTGACTGGGAGACACCTCCCAACAGAGGTCAACAGACACGTCATACAGGAGAGCTCAGGCTGGCATCAGGTCGGTGCCCCTCTGGGACAAAGCTTCCAGAGGAAGGAGCAGGCAGCAATCTTTGCTATTCTGCGGGCTTCACTGGTGATACCCAAGTGAACAGGGTCTGGAGTGGACCTCCAGCAAACTGCAGCAGACCTGCCGAAGAAGGGACTGACTGTTAGAAGCACTAACAAATAGAAAGCAACAACATCAACATCAACATAAAGGACCCACACACAAAAACCCCATCCAAAGGTCATCAGCTTCAAAGATCAAAGGTAGATAAATCCACGACGATGAGGAAAAACCTGCGTAAAAATGCTGAAAATTCCAAAAACCAGAATGCCTCTTCTTCTCCAAATGATTACAACTCCTCTCAAGCAAGGGCACAAAACTGGATGGAGAATGAGATTGATGAACTGACAGAAGTAGGCTTCAGAAGCTGGGAAATAACAAACTCCTCTGAGCTAAAGGAGCACGTTCTAACTCAATGCAAGAAAGTTAAAAACCTTGACAAAAAGTTACAAGAACTGCTAACTAGAATACCCAGTTTAGAGAGGAATATAAATGACATGATGGAGCTGAAAAACACAGCACGAGAACTTCGTGAAGCATACACAAGTATCAATAGCTGAATCTGTAAAGTGGAAGAAACGGTATCAGAGATTGAGGATCAACTTACTGAAATGAGGCATGAAGACAAGATTAGAAAAAAAGAATGAAAAGAAACAAACAAAGCCTCAAAGACACATGGGACTATGTGAAAAAAGCCCAGGAATATACAGATTCAAAAGCACATCCAAAAGCTTATCCACCATGATCAAGTTGGCTTCATCCCTGGGATGCAAGGCTGGTTCAACATACACAAATCAAAAAATGTAATCAATCACATAAACAGAACCAATGACAAAAAACACATGATTTTCTCAATAGATGCAGAAAAGGCCTTCAACAAAATTCAATACCCCTTCATGCTAAAAACTTTCAATAAACTAGGTATTGGTGGAATGTATCTCAAAATAACAAGAGCTATTTATGACAAACCCATAGCCAATATCATACTGAATGGGCAAAAGCTGGAAGCATTCCCTTTGAAAACTGGCATAAGACAAGGATGCCCTCTCTCACCACTCCTATTCAACATAGTACTGGTAGTTCTGGCCAGGACAATCAGGCAAGAGAAAGAAATAAAGAGTATTTGAATAGGAAGAGAGGAAGTCAAATTGTCTCTGTTTGCAGATGACATGATTGTATATTTAAAAAATCCCATCATCTCACCCCAAAAACTCCTTAAGCTGATAAGCAACTTCAGCAAAGTCTCAGGATACAAAATCAATGAGCAAAAATCACAAGTATTCCTACACAGCAACAATAGACAAGCAGAGAACCAAATCATGAGTGAACTCCCATTCACAATTGCTACAAATAGAATAAAATACCTAGGAATATAACTTAAGGGGGACGTGAAGGACCTCTTCAAAGAGAACTACAAATCACTGCTCAAGGAAATAAGAGAGGACACAAACAAATGGAAAGAAATTCCATGCTCATGGATAGGAAGAGTCAATATCATGAAAAAGGCCATATTGCCCAAAGAAATTCATAGAGTCAATGCTATTCCCATCGAGCTACCAGTGACTTTCTTCCCAGAGTTAGAAAACACTACTTAAATTTCATATGGAACCAAAAAAGAGCCTGTATAGCCAAGACAATCCTAAGCAAAAAGAACAAAGCTGGGGCCATCATGCTACCTGACTTCAAACTATACTACAAGGCTACAGTAACCAAAACAGCATGATACTGTTAACAAAACAGATATATAGACCAATGGAACACAACAGAGACCTCAGAAGTAGCACCACACATCTACAACCATCTGATCTTTGACAAACCTGACAAAAACAAGAAATGGGGAAAGGATTCCCTATTTAATAAATGGTGTTGGGAAAACTGGCTAGCCATATGCAGAAAACTGAAACTGGACCCCTTCCTTACACCTTATACAAAAATTAACTCAAGATGGATTAAACACTTAAAGGTAAAACCCAAAACCATAAAAACCCTAGAAGAAAACCTAGGTAATACCATTCATCATATAGGCATAGGCAAAGACTTTATGACTAAAACACCAAAAGCAATGGCAACAAAAGCCAAAACTGACAAATGGGATCTAACCAAGCTAAAGAGCTTCTGCATGGCAAAAGAAACTATCATCAGAATGAACAGGTAACCTACAGAATGGGAGAAAATTTCTGTAATCTACCCATCTGACAAAGGTCTAATATCCAGAATCTATAAGGAACTTAAACAAATTTACAAGAAAAAAACAGCAACAACAACAAAAAAAACCCCATCAAAAAGTGGGCAAAGGATATGAAAGACACTTCTCAAAACAAGACATTTATGCAGCCAACAAACATTAAAAAAGGCTCATTATCACTGGTCATTAGAGAAATGCAAATCAAAACCACAATGAGATACCATCTCACACCAGTGAGAATGGCAATCATTAAAAAGTCAGGAAACAATAGATGCTGCAGAGGATGTGGAGAAATAGGAACACTTTTACACTGTTGGTAGGAGTGTAAATTAGCTTAACCATTGTGGAAGACAGTGTGGCAATTCCTCAAGAAACTAGAACCAGAAATACCATTTGACCCAGCAATCCCAAAGGATTATAAATCCTTCTACTATAAAGACACATGCACACGTATGTTTATTGCAGCACTATTCACAACAGCAAAGACTTGGAACCAACCCAAATGCGCACTAATGATAGACTGGATAAAGAAAATGTGGCACATATACACCATGGAATACTACGCAGCCATAAAAAAGAAAGAGTTCATGTCCTTTGCAGGGACATGGATGAAGCTGAAAGCCATCATTCTCAGCAAACTAACACAGGATCAGAAAACCAATCACCGCATGTTCTCACTCATAAGTGGGAGCGGAACAGTGAAAACACATGGACACAGGGAGGGGAACATCACACACCAGGGCCTGTTGGTGGGTGGCAGGCAAGGGGAAGGAGAGCATTAAGACATATACCTAATGCATGCAGAGCTTAAAACCTAGATGATTGGTTGATAGGTGCAGCAAACCACCACGGCACATGTGTACCTACGTAACAAACCTGCAATTGTTCTGTAAATGTATGCCGGAACTTAAAGTAAAATAAAAATATTAATAATAATAATTTAAAAGTTGGAAATATTGTGAGAATTACCAAAGTGTGACACAGAGACACAAAGTGAGAATATGCTGTTGGAAAAATGGTGGCTGATAAACTTGCCCCATACAGGATTGCCAGAAACCTTCAATTTGTTTAAAAACGCAGTATCTGCAGAGCACAATAAAGAAAAGCAAAAGAAAACCAGATATGCCTGTGTATCCTTGCCGAGAAAAATGCATTGACATTAATCACCATGGTAGTACAAAGAAGTACAAATTCATAAGTACTTAAGCAGCTTCTTTAACAGCAGAATTTTAATCAAGATCTCACCAGATTGTTTCTTAACTTGGATGAGTTCATCCAAGGCTTTGACTTACTTTACATTCTTGTTTACTGCTCCCAGTAATTCTACTTGATGACCAGACCAATGTTTGTCTTTTCATGTATTCACTAGATGATAATCTGCTTAATAGAAATTCCCATAAAGTATGAACCCAAAAAAGAATAAAGTTAGTTTTAGGTTCCCTGTTATCTGGAAAATGCAATTATCCTTTAAGTAATCCTTTAATGACTTTAAAAGTCATTAATATTTCTTACCAGACCATGTCATTATTTCTGATTAGCCTATTTATGGCTTAAAACAGATCATTTTCCCTTTGTTTTTTGACAACTTAACATTTTGGCAGATTCTACATCCAGATTTAAGAAATGTTTATCTTATATTTGGAGCCAGTCACCTAATCACTCTCTTTCTTTTTACTTTGTTGCTGTTCTTGGTTTCTTTTTATTTGCTTGTTTTTAAGTTAATCTACCATGTTATCCATGGAGGAACTCATCTTTGCATTTGACAACATCTAAGAAGGCTGCTCAAAGATTGAGCATTTCATTATATTATCTTATTCTCACAAACAATACACTGTAAGGTTATTCCAAGCATGAATAAGGTTATTTGCCCAAGTCCCAAAAGCATAACTCACAGAGCCAGAATTTGAAGCTCTCAAACATTAAAACCCAACACCTATCTCACTGCTATTCTGCCTATCTTCTGTATAAAGGCAAGGAAAAAAGTCTCTTGGTTGTGCCATGAAACATAGTAACAGGAGGCTACAATTATTCCCCATTAGTTCTCATTCTCAACTCAAATGCTCCTAGTGGAAAAGTACATGTTACTACTATGCAGAACATGGAAAATAACTTGAATACCTTTGATAAAACAGTGAAACTTTGCTAGAATGGGTAACAGCAATGAAAAAGTATGTGTTATTTACCATTTCAAGGATAAAAGGCCATGCATCAGAAGTAATTACATTTGTGGATCTAATTTCTAAAATGAAAATCAATAATACAGAAATAAAAAGACTATTTTACACAGCCATATCATATCAATAATCTTCATTAAAGAAACTAAATAAGGCCAGGTGAGGTGGCCCACACCTATAATTCCAGTACTTTGGGAGGCTGAGGCAGGTGCATCACCTGAGGTCAGGAGTTTGATACCAGCATGGTCAAAATGGTGAAATCCCATCTCTACTAAAAATACAACAACTAGCCTGGTGTGGTGCCAGGCACCTGTAATCCCAGCCACTCAGGAGGCTGAGGCGGGAGAACCACTTGAACGTGAGATGGGGAGGTTGCAGTGAGCTGAGATCATGCCACTTCACTCCACACTGGGTGACAGAGTGACACCCCATTTAAAAAAAAAAAGAAAGAAAGAAACTAAGGATACACAACAGCAATATAGGACCTCCTACCGAAGAAAAAATTATTTGTTCAGTATCTAACATTATTTTCTGTATCAAATTCCTTACTGGTGGTACAATGGAAAAAGAATTATAGAATCTACAGCCATATACTCTCACTCTGATTTCCACTGTCCACCTGTGCTTAGTGATCATATCTGTAAAAAAAAGAAGGGAATTAATAATATCCACAGTGCATATTTACATGCAAGTTCACTGAATACTATAAAATGCTCTTCAGTCTTAAGATCTTATTAGTATAATAACAGACATATTAGAAATCTAGGACCACAGGCAGTTCAAAACACTTCATTATATTGACTTTAGGCGTATACTAAAAAGTCCATTCTCATTAGTAACATTCATCTTTAGAGCAGACTATAACTCAACAAGACTATCAGGATTCAGAAATTTTGAATATCTATCATTTATTGCATTAATTGTACCATTCAATTTAAATTTGCAATCCTCCAAATATATTGTTAAGCAATGATCTGTAAGAAGGAACGTTTTGTATCTTACGGAAAAGTAAGCCCCAGAAATGAAAAAATTACAGCAAAGAAATCTATAATTGTGTTTATATTACATGAGTGATTTGCTGTTTCTCCAAAATAGCATGTAAGTCAGTGATTCTCAAATGTGCAAAGTATTTCCATGTGCTTAACAAGAAAACTATCCAAAACAAACACTGTTTAAGAAATTTCTTATTATTTTATTTCCTTTCCATCTGTTTTTGTCCTTCTTTTTGGGTCCCACTCACCTTCTTTCTTTCAGTTGCCTGGCTATTGCTCACAGTAACACTTCTAAAAGAATAAGGCAACAAAATTAGATACTCAGTGGGGAACTCTAGCCCAAAATATTACTTGACAGTGACATAGTCCAGAGTTAAATATTTATAGACATTAACTCTTAAAGAGACTAATACATGTCTCAATGCAAATACTAAATATACTATGGTATCTTTTACCTAGTCTTAAAGATTATCATTCAATATTTATCAAAAGGAAAACATCTTATTAAGATTATATAGTCCTCCAGAAAAGTCAATACTTTAATTATTATAAGCCTTATTTTTATATGTGTTTTTATGTGACATATATAGAGTAAATACATCTATAGGGGATATGTTTATGAAATCCCATGAAGCAAGAAAAAAATCTGAAAGCAACAGTACATAACGCCACAACATGAAGTAAAACAAAAAAATTAACACGGTATCACCATTTCTTATAACAAAGATGCTTAAGTAGTCATTCCTCAGAGAGGTATTATTGAATTACATGGCAATAAAAGCTTGAGGAAAATTATATAAAACTTGAGGGAATCATATAAAAATAAATTCAGGCTGTAACTATTTTTAAAACACAATGAAAATCTAAACTACCAGTTCATGCTAAAGCCCAAAAAGGGTGACAAAATTAGTAAAGTTAAAGCCCTGCTGGGCCCTAAAAATACAGAAAGATGAACACAAAGAGAAAATCTTAAAAGCAGCAAAAGAGAAAATACTTATCACACACAATGGACCCTCAATGAGACTAACAGCTGACTTAGCATCAGAAACCATAGAAGTCAGAAGGTAGTGGAACGATATATTCAAACGGCTAAAAGAAAAACACTAAACCAAGAATTCTTTATCCAAATAAACTACCCTACAAAACTGAGGCAGAATAAAGACATTCCCAGGTAAAGACTGAGGAATCTGTAAAAATAGTAAAGATGTCCTGCAGGCTAAAAGGAAATGATACCAAGCAGTAACTCAAATTCTCACAAAGAAATGAAGAATACTCAAGAGGTAATTACATAGACAAATCTAAAAGACTGAATAAAAACTTTTCTCTCTTTATTCCTCTTAACAAATTTACAAAACAGCTACAAAAAAAAACCTGTAAAACTGTATGGTTAATCTTACAGCATATAAAATATAATACATATGACAATGGCACTCTCCAGGAGAGGAAAAGGAATGAAGCTATACAGAATTAAATATTCTACATATTACTAACACTGAATTAGTATTAATATGAAGTCAATTGTAATAAGTCAATATGCATATTGTAACCCTAGGTCAACCAATATAAAAACACTTAAAAATATGCATAGTAAAAAGAAAATAATTTAAATGTGCACAAGAAAATATCTATTTAACACAAAAAAGAGCAATAAATGAGGAAGAGAAGAACAAAAAGCACCATGAGAAATATACAAAACAAACATTAAACGTAAATAGCTTGAACACTATAAAAACAAAGACTATCCAAATGAAAAACATCCAGCACACATTAGAATCAAAGATATAAAATAGGTTGAAAGCAAAAGTGTGAAACAAGATAAACAATGTAAACAATAACCATAAGAGAGCTGAAGTAGCTGTACTAAAATAAAACAAGTCTTTTTTTTTTTTTTTTTGAGACGTTGTCTCACTCTTTCACCCAGGCCAGACTGCAGTGGTGCGATCTTGGCTCACTGCAACCTCCGCCTCCTGGGTTCATGCCATTCTCCTGCCTCAGCCTCCTGAGTAGCTGGAACTACAGGTGCCCGCCAACACACCCAGCTAATTTTTTGTATTTTTAGTAGAGACGGGGTTTCACCGTGTTAGCCAGGATGGTCTCGATCTCCTGTCCTCATGATCCGCCCGCCTCGGCCTCCCAAAGTGCTGGGGATTACAGGTGTGAGCCACCGTGCCCGGCAAATAAAACAAGTCTTTAAGACAAAAACTGTTACTAGAGACAAAAGCATTTCATAATGATAAAAGGGTCAATATCATGAAGATATAAAAATTATAAACATACAAAAGGAGTCTCAAAATACATGAAGCAACGCTGGACAGAATTGAGAGAGAAATAAACAATTCAACAATAATAGTCAGAGATTTCAAAACTCCACTCAATAATTGATAGACAAACTAGACAGAAAATCTGTAAGGACACAGAAGACTTCAACATAACCATCAAGCAACATGATGTAACTAACATCTAACACATTCTTCCCAAATATAGAATAAAATTTCAAGTACTTGTGGAACATTCTCCACAATAAAAAATATATTTGGCCATAACATAAGTAACGGTAAATTTTAAAAATTGGGATCATACAAAGCATGCCCTCAAACCAAAGTGGAATTAAATTAGAACAACAACCTCTAAATAATCCATGGTCAAACAAGAAATCACAAGAAAAAATTTAAAAATGTATCCAATTGTATGAATATGAAAATACAACATATTATTGTAGCAAAAGCAGTATGTAGAGGTATTATAGCTTTAAATGCCTATTTTTAGAAAAGAAGAAAGACCTCAAATAAATAACCCAAGTTTCCACCTTAAGAAATTAGGAAAAGAAGAGCAAAGCTTATAAGCAGAAGGACAACCATAAATATTAGAATGGAGATCAATGAAATGGAAATCAAAAAAAATTTTTTAAAAATTCTTAAAACCAAGGTTGATTCTTTGAAAAGATCAACAAGACTGTCACACCGCTAGGTTGATGTGCCAAGGGAAAAAAAAGAGAAGGAACAAAACTACCAAAATAAGAAATAAAAGAGTGAACGTGATCCTGACCCTACAGAAATTCAACTTAGAAGAAACTGACCAATTTCTAGGAATACTCAAAATATCAAGACAAGGAATGAAGGAAAAAGAAAAAGGAATAGGAGAATGGGGAAGGGGAGGCAAGGGGAGGAAAGGAAGAGAGGGAGGGAAAAGAGAGGAAGGAAAAAGAAACGGGGATAGAAAAAGGAAGTGTGAATAGGCTTATTATTAGTAAAGAAATTGAAACAGTATTTGGAAATCCTCTCATTAATAAAAGCCAAAACCAGATGGTTCACTGGTAAATTCCATCAAATATTTCAAGAAAAAATAATACCAATGGTTCAGAAACTCTTCTAGAAAGCAGAGGACAAGGGAATATTTTCCAAAACATTTTATGGGGTCAATATTATCCTCATACTAAAGTCTAACAAAGCCACACTAAAACAAGGATGAAGCACAAAAACTTTACACTAAGTCAAAGAAGCTAGGCTCAAAAGACTACATTTTGTATTATTCTATTTATAGAAAATGTCAAAAAAGATAACTATACAGAAACAGAAAGTAGAGAAGTGGTTGCCTAGGGCTCGGAGTGAAAGCAGAAGTAACTATCAACTATCACAAGGCATCTTCTGCAGGTGATAAACTATTCTAAAACAAGATTATGGTTGCAGATCTCTTTAATATTACTAAAAAATTATTAAATCATATGCTTAATGTGAGTGGATTTTATTGTATGTAAATTATACTTCAATAACTGTTTAAGAAAAAACCGGTTCAGTGACTAGATCAACAACATCTACCTAGACTAATCAAGATTAAAGGCAGAGTGCTGGGAATTTGCTAAAAATTAGCAGTGTAACTCTTATAGGCATTTAAAGAATTAAGAAAATATTATAAACAACTTTATGTCAACAAATACACTTTAGATGAAATTCTCAAATTCTTTGAAAAATACAACTTACTAAAAAAAATAGAGAAAAGCTGAGTAGATTTTTTAACTGAGTTTATAAAAAACCTATATACAAACAAATTAGAGTCCCAGATGGTTTCACTACTGAACCCTATAGAAACACATAAAAAAAAAACATTAATTTCATACAAACTCTTTCAAACATAAGGTAGTAGACCCCACTTTCAAGTGAAGCCAATGACGCTAACAAAACCATTGCTAGCATTACTGATAAAAACATTATATTACTCCAAAGCTAAACAAAGACATCTACAGGAAAAGTATAGAGCCATATCCCTGATGAATACAGACACAAAAATCCTTAATAAAAATATTATCAAATTGAATTCACATATATCATAACCATGTAGAATTTATCACAAGAATGCAAAGTTAATATATAAAAATGAATCAATTTAAATCACTAACAGTATAAAGAAGAAAAATGATATTTAATAAACACAGAAAAAGCACTTGACAGAATTCAACATCTACTCATAACTTTTCAAAAATTTCAGTACTCTAGAAATGGAAGGAACTTTCCTCAATCTGATGAAAGACATTCATGAAAATTCTACAGCTAGTATGACATATAATGTCAAAAGACTAAATGATTTCTCTCTTAGGTGGGGAATAAGGCACTGCAATAGGGCAAGTAACAGAAATAAAAGGCAGAGAAGTAAAACTGTCTCTAAATGCAGTTAACACAATTGTTTATATAAACAATCCTAAAAAATCTAAAAACGACTACTCAATAAGTAAAATAGAAAAGCTCATCGCACGCAAGCCCAATGTAAAAATATACATACCAGGATTAAGCAATAGAAAATGAGATTTGAAATAACTATTTCCTTGAAAAGAGCATCCCACACATAAAATACTTAGGGAAAAAAATGACAATAAGTCTAACACAAACCACTGAAAACTACAAAACATTGCTGAGATAAAGAGGCCCTAAATAAATGAAGCATACCATGTACATGTAGTGGAAGACTCAGTATTTTAGATCTTAATTCTCCCCACATTGATCTATAGATCCAATCAGAATATCAATTATACTTTTACCAAGAATTTTTGTAAAAACTGACAAACTGAATCTAAAATGTTAAGGATATGCAAAAAGCAATCTTGAAAAAGAAAAAGAATTGGAACACTTATACTACCTTAATTCAAGAATTACTATAGTAATCAAGATAAGTTATTGAAACAGAATAAGGAAAACAGAAATAGACCTAAACTTATATGCAGTCAATTGATTTTCAACAAAGGCACCAAATATGTGAAAGCAATCCAATGAAGAAAAGTATTCTCTACAAATACAACTAAATGTTCACATGCAAAAAAGAAACCCAAACAGGTACTGTATACCATACATAAAAATTAATACAAGATGGATCAGGAACCCAACTATAAATGCAAAAACTACAAAGTTTCTAAACAGGAGAATTATCGTTGTGACTTGGGGGAAGGAAAAGGTTCCTTAGATAGGACACAAAAATTACCTTAAAAGAAAAACATTCATAAATCTGACTTCATCAAAATTTATAACTTCAGTTCATCAAAAAACATTACTAAGAAAAAGAAAAAGTGAGCCACAGACAAGAGAAATTATTCATAAAACAGATGTCTGACAAAGGACTTATGTTCAACACATTGTAAAACATTTTACAAATCAATAGTAAAAGCACAAACAACTCAATTTTTTTAATGGACATAAGATTTTAATAGAGTCATCACAAAAAGAGATATAAAAAAGGCAAACGAGGCCGGACGCAGTGGCTCATGCCTGTAATCCCAGCACTTTGGGAGGCCGAGACAGGCGGATCACGAGGTCAGGAGATTGAGACCAGCCTGGCCAACACGGTGAAACCCCGTCTCTACTAAAAATACCAAAAATTAGCCGGGCATGGTGGTGGGTGCCTGTAATCCCAGCAGCTTGGGAGGCTGAGGCAGGAGAATAGCGTGAACCCGGGAGGCGGAGCTTGCAGTGAGCTGAGGTCGCGCCACTGTACTCCAGCCTGGGCGACAGAGCGAGACTCCATCCCAAAAGAAAAGAAAAAAGGCAAACGAATGAATAAAAAATGCTGAAAACCATTAGTTCTCCAGGAAATAAAAATCTAAATTACAATGAGATACTATCAATCATCACCAAAATAACTAAAATTAAAAAGATTGACAACATTAAATATGACTGAAAGTGCTAGGATTACAGGCATGAGCCACTGTGCCCAGCCAGCTGCTTTACTAGTAATAGTCAAAAACTATAAACAGCTCAGGTATTCCCCAACAAGAGAATTGCTAAACAGATATACACACATTCCCTGACTTATGACGGTTTGACTTACAAGTTTTTGACTTCATGATGACGCAAAATCAACAGGCATTCAGTAGAAACTGTAATTCGAATTTTGATCTTTTCCTGGGCTAGCAACATGCAATAGGATGCTCTCTCATGATGCTGGGCTAATGTAAGTGTTCTGAGTACTTGTATTAAGGAAGCCTATACTAAATTATGATGTTCAGCAGGTTAGGTATATTAAATGAATTTTTGACTTATGGTATTTTCAACTTATGATGGGTTTATCTAGACATGCCCCATCAAATAAATTGAGGAGCATTTATATTCAAACAAATGGAATATTACATAGCAATATAAAGCAACTAATTCTTGATATACAAAACAACAAAAACAAGTCTCAAAATATTCTGCTGCTTCTCCTGCATATGACCATTATACAATAACAAGACCAGATTGACCATTCCCCACTTAAGCAACTAGAAAACTGAACAAAATAAGAATCAATGGTTTCCAGAAATTGAGTAACAGCCAGTACAGAACTGTGAGCCCCAAGGGAAGAAAAACAAATGAAATGAACCCTTTGATTGCCCTGGCTTCCTGCATGGGGGCCATTTCCAGGCTATAATACATAGAGAAGTAACCCAAACAGAGCCTAGGAATCAAGGAGACGAAAATCAGACTTCAGGGATCCCAGGGCAGCTATAATTTGCAGGGCAGATTACCAGAGAGGAAAATGCCACACAGAGAAAAAACTCTAAAGTGGGAGTTAACAAATATTTTCTGTAAGGAGCAGATAAGTATTTTAGGCTTTGCAGGCCATATGATCTGCATCATAACTATCCAATGATGCTATTATAATGTAAAAGCAGAAAAATATATGTAAATGAATGAGAATGGCTATGTTACAATAAAACTTTAATTACAGTAACAAGTAGCAGGTGGGATTTAGTCAGTTAGCTGCCGTTTGTCCACCTCTGCTCTAGAGAATTTCACAGTGATGTCCTCAACTTTTGTCTGGGTTTTGAGCTGCACATGAGTGGAAATTACTGAACACCAAGAAATGAACCTGGAAAGCAACGTATTAAACAATTCTCAAAGCTCATACAGAAACAGTTCATATATTCCCAATAAACAAGGTAAAAAGACCTCTCAATAAATACATATGGCATCAGATAGGGTCTTCAGAATAGTATCACCATGAAAGTGGAGCTAAATTAGCCTAACATTAAAATCTGTTCTTGTACATGCTAACAATGCTTAAAAGCAAGATTTGCAAGGATATAATAGATTATAGCTAACTTAACTGCATCCCCAAAGTCTTATAATATTTAATGGAATACCAAAAATTACCAGGTATTCCAAAAAGACAGAAATATGTAACGCACTTCAGGAAAAAAAAATCAGTCAATAGAAGCAGACTCAGAAAGGACAGAAATGTGAAATTAGCAGGACAAGGATATTAATACAGCTAGCATAAATATATTCCACATGTTCATGAAGGTAGAGAAGAAATATGAATGATGAGAGAAATCAAAGGTGCAAAAAAGACCCAAACAGAACATCTAAAGATTAAAAACACACACAACTTTATGTGTTGTATGTGTTAAAAACACACACAACTTTATGTGTTGTATGTGTTAAAAACACACACAATTTTAAAATGAAAAACATAACAAATAAGATAAATAACAGCTTAGACACTACAGAAGATCACTGAAATTGAAGGCTTAATAATAGCAGCCACCTAAAGTACACACATAAAATATAGACTAGAAAAATAATAGACAAAGGAGAGACAGAGAGTGAGAGAGAAAGGTGTGAGAGAGGGAGGACAGAAAGGGGAGATACAAAGGGAGGGAAAGGGAAAAGGAAATGGAAAGGGAGAGAGGGAGAGAGAGAAAGAGAGAGAGAGAGAATCAGTAAGAAAACAGGAAATTTTAACATCAAGTAACTTGACCTAACTGACATTTACAAAACATTCTGCCTAAGAGCCAAATAGAAATTATCTTCAAGTTCACAAAACAATATTCACCAAGACAGACCACACTCTGAGCAATTTTTAAAAATCTGGGCCAAGTGCGGTGGCTCATGCCTGTAATCCCAGCACCTTGGGAGACTGAGGTGGGCGGATCACCTGAGGTCAGGAAATCAAAACCATCCTGGCTAATACAGTGAAATCCCGTCTCTACTAAAAATACAAAGAATTAGCCGGGTATGGTGGCACATGCCTGTAATCCCAGCTACTCGTGAGGCTGAGGCAGGAGAATCGCTTGAACCCAGGAGGCAGAGGTTGTGGTGAGCAGAGATCATGCCATTTGCACTCCAGCCTGGGCAACAAGAATGAAACTCTGACTCAAAAAAAAAATCTTAATAAAAGATTTTTGAAATCCTTTAACATATGTTCTTTGACTATAGTAACTAGAACTCAATAACAACTATGATGGAGTATAAGGACTGGGATCAAGGGCCCCAGCTGCTGCACTCTGCAATCCATCTCTGCATTTACACCAAGGCCATGATTCCCATGGGCTGCTTCCAGCCAATGACTGAGTAAGGCAGGAATACTAATGTAGTTCCCTGGTTGGGTGATATGAGACTTCTCTGACAGAAAACTCTGGCACAAGAACTCCCCAGTCAACTTACCACTTTCCTTAGAAATACACTGTAGTATGAGATGCTTTTACCCACCCTCGTTCTTTCTTAACTTGGGGTCAAACCTACATCAGAGTCTGATGACTCTCTTAGTCTCCTACAGCTCCCTTTTCATTTTCTCACACAGGCATTTTTCCCTAATAGATTTTTTGCACATTTAAACCCATGTTGGCATCTGCTTCTCAGAGGACTCAAACTGTTGCAAGATGTCAAAATTTTGCAGATGTAACTAAAGAAACACGTAAAAGAAAATGTATAACATTTAATATCTGTAATTTAAAACTTGGAAAAACCTCAAATCAATAATCTAAGTTTCTTTCTAGGGATCCGCAGGATGCCGCTTTTCCAGCTGGAAACCTCTGTGGCTGGTGGCACCTTTTGTGCAAGTTTTCTTGGGCCCGCTGGGCTCATTCCACCCCCTCGGCCTGATACGCTGTGCACGGCTCATGCCATCAGCCCAGATCCCACACCTGCCAAAGGCGAGTCTGGCACAGAGCAGTGACGGGTGCATGAGTGAGTGCAGGGTCTGGCAAGAGCGCACAGCCAGGCATGCCAGCTGCTGCAGCAGGGTGGGCAGCTCCAGGCACTTTCTCCATGCAAGCCTGAGGCTGGATCAGATGCACCGCAAGTGGCTTCCACTGCAGGCACCCACGTCTGGACAAGAGGAACATGGTGACACTGGAAAGCTTGGAGATAACAGAAACCACAGAGCCCCAAAGAGGGTGTCATAGCTCTGGCTCTGGGAGCTCCTAGGTCTGGGTTTCCTGCAGAGCTGCAGCTCTTCTCTCCTTCTCATCACCCCCAAACATGGTGAGCAGGGGGACGTATTTCAGTCCTGTTTGTGTTACAGCTCTTTCAGTCCCGCCATTCACCTGGTCCAGAGTTTTTATCCCACATCTAGGAAGAATGAGGTATGTGGACAACTGGAAGGTGAGCAAGGCAGAGAGGAGCTTTACTGAACAAAAGAACAGCTCTGAGGAGACTGGAAGGGGGTAGCTCCTCTCTGCAGGTCATCTAGACAAGTGTCCAGCTCTCAGCAGAGTGGATAGCTCCTTTCCACAGCTGGTAGTCCCAACGTCTGTGTGAGTCTGGCTGGGTCTGGGATTTTTATGGGCTCAAAAGGAAGTAAGTGCATGCTAATTGGTCCATGGGTGGCCACGGGCAGGCTCATAAAGAGCACAGTAAGTTCTCACTCTGGGGCTGCTGATTCCACTCAGAACTGACAGGCCAGGCCCCAGGCTTCAGACTGTTCCTGGCTTGAATGTAGGATTTCATCAGGGACTCACCCCTTTCCACCCAGAAGCCCATCTGCCTCCTGCCACAATCAATCATGTTGTCCAGGGTACCCACTCTGCTTGTGGGAGGGGCACCTGCAAGGTCACACAGAGGGACCCATCGGCCTCCCTCTCATGCTCCTCATTCCCCAAAGTCCAGAGGGGGCTGAGGTGACAGGGGGCTGGCAGGTCAGTGCTGCCCCAAGCATGGGCACACCCCACTGGGCTGCCACCACACCCAGGCTTGGCCCAACTTGCTCTACCCTGGAACAGGCTCAGGGAGCAGGAAAAGGCCAGGCAGCAGGAGCAGGCGCTTCCAAGCCTGGAGGGGCAGTGGGGCTTCCCAGACCCCCGAGAGTGCAGGGATGCCCAGATCCACAACCACAGGTGGGCAGCTGCAGCTGCCAGCAGGAGCACAGGGCTCCTGCCCCACCATCTCAGAATGGGGCGGGACTCCCACCTGTTCCCAGCTCCCACTGGCTCCATGTACAGGGCAGCGCCAGCCATACCTTCCCCACTGCAGCTGGTGTCTTTGCAGTGACTGCTGCTGCCATCCCTTCCACCTTTAGAAACTAGAAAAATAAAGCAAATTAAATCTTAATTAAAGAGAAGAAAAGAAATAATAAAAACCAAATATCAATGGAATGGAAAACAGACTAATAGGAAAAAAAAATCAGGGCTCAGTGTAGTGGCTTATGCCTGTAATCCCAGCACTTTGCCAGGTGGGAAGATTGCTTGATCTCAGGAGTTCGAGACTAGCCTGAGCAACATAAGGAGATCCTGTCTCTCCTAAAAACAAAAAAAAATTCGCCAGGTGTGGTGGTGCCCTCCTGTAGTCCCAGCAACTCAGGAGGCTGAGGCAGGGTAACTGCTTGAGCCCAGGAAGTAGAACCTGCATTGAGCAGTGATCGCCCCCACTGCCTTCCAGCCTGGGTGACAAAGTGAGATACTGCCTAAAAAAAAGAAAAAAAAAATCAATGAAAGCAAAAACTGGAAACTGGTTCTCTGAACAGATCAAGAAAACTGATAAACCTCTAGCCAGGCTGATCAGAGGGAAAAAAAAGTGAGAGGTCATAAATTACTAATATCAGGAATAAAAGAGAAGCATTACTAGAGATTCCTATAGGAATTTCCCAACTTACAAAGGCTACAGGTCTTTCATGTGTTCATTAGAAGCCTATTACTAAAAATTCTCAATCTTAAGAACCGTCTTATAATGCTTTGTTAACCCACAGAATCTTAAATAGTATAGCTAAAAGCTCTTGCTCCTTTTAAGAATATTTAACACCTCTGAGCTAAATATCCTAAGAGTCATAAGTCCTAGACCACTCTGAGACCAAAAGGAAACAGACAGCAAAGTAGGGACTCAGTGGAGGCTCCAAACTACCATGGCAGCATCTAGGAGAGGCTCTGATTAAAAGTAACAAAAGAGGGCAAGATGGCCAAATAGGAACAGCTCCTGTCTGCAGCTTGCAGCAAGATCAATGCAGAAGGCGGGTGATTTCTGTATTTCCAACTGAGGTACCTGGTTCATCTCACTGGGCCTGGTTAGACAGTGAGTGCAGCCCATGGAGGGTGAGCCAAAGCAGGATGGGGCATCGCCTCACCCAGGAAGCGCATGGGGTCAGGGAACTCCCTTCCCTAGCCAAAGGAAGCCATGAGGGACTGCACCGTGAGGAACGGTGCCCTCCAGCCAAGATACTATGCTTTCCCCACGGTCTTTGCAACCCACAGACCAAGAGATTCCCTCAGGTGCCTAGCCACCAGGGCCCTGGGTTTCAAGCACAAAACTGGGCAGCCATTTGGGCAGACACTGAGCTAGCTGCAGTTTCTTTTTTCATAACCCAGTGGTGCCTGGAATGACAGAGAGACAGAACCATTCACTCCCCTGGAAAGGGGGCTGAAGCCAGGGAGCCAAGTGGTCTAGCCCAGCGGATCCCACCCCCACGGAGCCCAGCAAGCTAAGAAACACTGGCTTGAAATTCTCACTGCCAGCACAACAGTCTGAAGTCGAACTGGGACACTTGAGCTTGGTGGGGGTAGGGGCATCCATCATTACTTAGGCTTGAGTAGGTGATTTTCCCCTCACAGTGTAAACAAAGCATCAGGGAAGTTTGGCAGTGCCACAAAGCTGCTGTAGCCTGACTGCCTCTCTAGATTCCTCCTCTCTTGGCAGGGTATCTCTGAAAGAAAGGCAGCAGCCCCAGTAAGGGGCTTATAGGTAAAACTCCCATCTCCCTAGGACAGAGCACCTTGGGGAAGGGGAGTCTATGGGTGCAGCTTCAGCAGACATAAACGTTCCTGCCTGCCAGCTCTGAAGAGAGCAGCAGATCTCCTGGCACAACACTCAAGCTCTACTAAGGAACAGACTGCCTCCTCAAGTGGGTCCCTGACCTCCGTGCCTCCTGATTGGGAGACACCTCCCAACAGGGGTTTAACAACACCTCATACAGGAGAGCTCTGTCTGGCATCTAGCCAGTGCCCCTCTGGGACGAAGCTTCCAAAGGAAGGAAGAGCCGGCAATCTTTGCTGTTCTGCAGCCTCCGCTGGGGATACCCAGGCAAACAGGGCCTGGAGTGGACCTCCAACAAACTCCAGCAGACCTGCAGCAGAGGGGTTTGTCTGTTAGAAGGAAAATTAACAAACAGAAAAGAATAGCATCAACATCAACAAAAAGGATGTCCACACAAAAACCCCATCCAAAGGTCACCAACGTCAAAGACCAAAGGTAGACAAATCCACAAAGATGAAGAAAAACCAGTGCAAAAAGGCTGAAAATTCCAAAAAGCATAACACCTCTTCTCCTCCAAAGGATCACAACTCCTCACCAGCAAGGGAACAAACTGGACAGAGAATGAGTTTGATGAACTGACAGAAGTAGGCTTCACAAGGTGGATAATAACAAACTCCTCTGAGCTAAAGGAGCATGATATAACCCAACGCAAGGAAGCTAAGAACCTTGAAAAAAGGTTAGAGGAATTGCTAACCAGAATAAGCAGTTTAAAGAAGAACATAAATGACCTGATGGAGCTGAAAAACACAGCACAAGAACTTCGTGAGGCATACAAAAGTATCAATAACCAAATCGATCAAGGGGAAGAAAGGATATCAGAGATAGAAGATCAATTTAATGAAACAAAGTGTGAAGACGAGATTAGAGAAAAAAATAATGAAAAGGAATGAACAAAGCCTCCAAGAAATATGGGACTATGTGAAAAGACCAAACCTACGTTTGACTGGTGTACCTGAAAGTGACGGAAAGAACGGAACCAAGCTGGAAAACACTCCTCAGGATATTATTCAGGAGAACTTCCCCAACCTAGCAAGGCAGGCCAACATTCAAATTCAGAAAATACAGAGACCACCACAAAGATAATCCTCGAAAAGAGCAACCCCAAAACACATAATCATCAGATTCACCAAGGTTGAAATGAAGGAAAAATGCTAAGGGCAGCCAGAAAGAAAGGTCAGGTTACCCTTGAAGCCCATCAGACTAACAGTGGATCTCTGCAGAAACCCTACAAGCCAGAAGAGAGTGGGGGCCAATATGCAACATTCTTAAAGAAAAGAAATTTCAACCCAGAATGTTATATCCAGCCAAACTAAGCTTCATAAGCAAAGAGGAAATAAAATCCTTTACAGAGAAGCAAATGCTGAGAGATTTTGTCATCACCAAACCTGCCTTACAAGAGCTCCTGAAGGAAGCACTAAATATGGAAAGAAAACACTGGTACAGGCAAAAACAAGGCAAATTGTAAAGACCATCAACACTATGAAGAAACTGCTCAACTAACGGGCAAAATAACCAGCTAGCATCATGACAGGATCAAATTCACACATAACAATGTTAATCGTAAATGTAAACAGGCTAAATGCCCCAATTAAAAGACACAGGCTGGCAAATTGGATAAAGAGTCAAGAACCATCAGTGTGCTGTATTCAGGAGATCCATCTCACGTGCAAAGAAACACACAGGCTCAAAATAAAGGGATAGAGGAATATTTACCAAGCAAATGGAAAGCAAAAAAAAGCCAGGCTTGAAATCTTAGACTCTGATATAACTGACTTTGAACGAATGAACGAATGAATGAGAGAGAGAGGGAGGGAGGGAGGGAGGGCGGGAGCAAGGTAGGAAGGAAGGAAGGAAGGAAGGAAGGAAGGAAGGAAGGAAGGAAGGAAGGAAGGGCACTACATAATGGTAAAGGGATCAATGCAACAAGAAGAGCTAACTATCCTAAATATATATGCACCCAATATAGGAGCACCCAGATTCATAAAGCAAGTTCTTAGAGACCTACAAAGAGACTTAGACTCCCACACAAACTCCCTCCCAATAGTGGGAGACTTTAACACCCCACTGTCAATTTTAGACTGATCAAAAACACAAAAAATTAACAAGGATATACAGGACTTGAACTAGCTCTAGAGAAAGTGGACCTAACAGACATCTACAGAACTCTCCACCTCAAGTCAACAGAATCTACATCCTTCTCAGTGCCACATAGCACTTATTCTAAAACTGACTGCATAATTGGAAGTTAAACACTCCTCAGCAAATGCAAAAGAACAAAAATCATAACAAATGGTCTCTCACACACCAGTGCAATCAAATTAGAACTCAGGATTAAGAAACTCACTCAAAACTGCCAAACTACATGGAAATTGAACAACCTGCTCCTGAATGACTACTGGGTAAATAATGAAATTAATACAGAAATAAAGAAGTTCTTTGAACCAATGAGAACAAAGACACAACGTACTAGAATCTCTGGGACACAGCTAAAGCAATGTTAAAAGGGAAATTTATGGCAGTACGAAGTGGGAAACATCTAAAATCGACACACTAACATCACAATTAAAAGAACTAGAGAAGAAAGACCAAAGAAATTCAAAAGCTAGCAGAAGACAGCAAATAACTAAGATCAGAGCAGAACTAAAGGAGATAGAGACACAAAAAACACTTCAAAAAAATCAATGAATACAGGAGCTGGTTTTTTGAAAAGATTAACGAAAAAGATAGACCATTATCCAGACTAATAAACAAGAGAGAAGAATCAAATAGACACAATAAAAAATGATGAAGAGAATGTCACCACTGATCCCACAGAAATACAAACTACCATCAGAAAACACTATTAACACCTCTACGAAGATAAACTAGAAAGTCTACAAGAAATGGATAAATTCCTGGACACATACATCCTCCCAAGACTAAACCAGGAAGAAGTCAATTCCCTGAATAGACCAACAACAAGTTCTGAAATGGAGGCAGTAATTAATAGCCTACCAACCAAAAAAAGCCCAGGAACATACAGATTCACAGCTGAATACTACCAGAGGTACAAAGGGGAGCTGGTACCATTCCTCCTGAAACTATACCAAACAATAGAAAATAAGGCACTCCTCCCTAACCCATTTTATGAGGCCAGTATCCTGACACCAAAATCTGGCAGAGACACAACAAAAAAAGAAAATTTCAGGCCAATATCCCCAATGAACATTGATGCAAAAATTCTCAATAAAATACTGGCAAACTGAATCCACCAGCACATCCAAAAGCTTATCCACCACAATCCAGTCAGCTTCATCCCTGGGATGCAAGGTTGGTTCAACATATGCAAATCAAAAAACATAATCAATCACATAAACAGAACCAATGACAAAAAACACATGATTTTCTCAATAGATGCAGAAAAGGCCTTCAACAAAATTCAATACCCCTTCATGCTAAAAACTTTCAATAAACTAGGTATTGACGGAATGTATCTCAAAATAACAAGAGCTATTTATGACAAACCCATAGCCAATATCATACGGAATGGGCAAAAGCTGGAAGAATTCCCTTTGAAAACTGGCATAAGACAAGGATGCCCTCTCTCACCACTCCTATTCAACATAGTACTGGTAGTTCTGGCCAGGACAATCAGGCAAGAGAAAGAAATAAAGAGTATTCAAAGAGGAAGAGAGGAAGTCAAATTGTCTCTGTTTGCAGATGACACGATTGTATATTTAGAAAACCCCATCATCTCAGCCCAAAAACTCCTTAAGCTGATAAGCAACTTCAGCAAAGTCTCAGGATACAAAATCAATGTGCAAAAGTCACAAGCATTCCTATACAACAACAATAGACAAGCAGAGAGCCAAATCATGAGTGAACTCCCATTCACAATTGCTACAAATAGAATAAAATACCTAGGAATATAACTTACAAGGGATGTGAAGGACCTTTTCAAGGAGAACTACAAATCACTGCTCAAGGAAATAAGAGAGGACACAAACAAATGGAAAGAAATTCCATACTCATGGATAGGAAGAGTCAATGTCATGAAAAAGGCCATACTTCCCAAAGAAATTCACAGTCAATCCTATCCCTATCAAGGTACCATTAACTTTCTTCAAAGAATTAGAAAAAACTACTTACATTTCATATGGAACCAAAAAAAAAAGTCTGTATAGCCAAGACAATCCTAAGCAAAAAGAACAAAGCTGGAGCCATCATGCTACCTGACTTCAAACTATACTACAAGGCTACAGTAACTAAAACAACATGGTACTGGTACCAAAACAGATATATAGACCAATGAAACATAAAAGAGGCCTCAAAAATAACGCCACACATCTACAACCATCTGATCTTTGACAAACCTGACAAAAACAAGCAATAGGGAAAGGATTCCCTACTTAATAAATGGTGCCAGGAAAACTGGCTAGCCATATGCAGAAAACTGAAACTGGATCCCTTCCTTACAACTTATACAAAAATTAACTCAAGAAGGATTAAAGACTTAAACGTAAGACCTAAAACCATAAAAACCCTGAAAGAAAACCTAGGTAATATCATTTAGGACATAGGCATGGGCAAAGACTTCATGACTAAAACACCAAAAGTAATGGCAACAGCCAAAACTGACAAATTGGGATCTAATCAAACTAAAGAGCTTCTGCACAGCAAAAGAAACTGTCATCAGAGTGAATAGGCAACCTACAGAATGGGAGAAAATTTTTGCAATCTATCTATCTGACAAAGGGCTAATATCTGGAATCCACAAGGAACTTACACAAATTTACAAGAAAAAAAACAAACAATCCCATCAAAAAGTGGGCAAAGGATATGAACAGACACTTCTCAAAACAAGACATTTATGCAGCCAACAAACACATGAAAAAAAGCTCATCATCACTGGTCATTAGAGAAATGCAAATCAAAACCACAATGAGATACCATCTCATGCCAGTTAGAATGGCGATCATTAAAAAGTCAGGAAACAATAGATGCTAGAGAGGGTGTGGAGAAATAGGAATGCTTTTACACTGTTGGTGGGAGTGTAAATTAATTCAACCATTATGGAAGACAGTGTGGCAATTCCTCAAGGATCTAGAATCAGAAATACCATTTGACCCAGCAATCCCATTACTGAGTATATACCCAAAGTATTATAAATCATTCTACTATAAAGACACATGCACACATATGTTTATTGCAGCACTATTCACAATAGCAAAGACTTGGAACCAACCCAAATGCCCATCAATGATAGACTGGATGAAGAAAATGTGGCACGTATACACCATGGAATACTATGTAGCCATAAAAAAGGATGAGGTCATGTCCTTTGCAAGGACGTGGATGAAGCTGGAAACCATCATTCTCAGCAAACTAACACAGGAACAGAAAACTAAACACCACATGTTCTCACTCATAAGTGGGAGTTGAACAATGAGAACACATGGACACAGGGAGGGGAACATCACACACCAGGGCCTGCTGGGGGCAGGGAGCTAGGGGAGGGATAGCATTAGAAGAAATACCTAATGTAGATGATGGGTTGATGGGTACAGCAAACCACCATGGCTCGTGTATACCTATGTAACAAACCTCCACATGTATCCCAAGAACTTACCTCCACATGTATCCCATATGTATCTCCATGTACCTCCACATGTATCCCAAGAACAAACCTCCACATGTATCCCAGAACTTAAAAGTATTGAAAAAAAAAAAAAAGGAACAAAAGAAAGCAGCAATACATTCTTAGCTCTAGCCATCATTAGGAATGGAGGCTGGGAGAAGATGCCAGACACTCTCTCAGCAAAAATGGGAAGAGCTTCTAGTGTAGAAAAATGTTAACAGGAGGCACGGCACTGACAGAATGGGAATGTATCCATTCAGTTGAGTATGTTTAAGAAAGTTAGAGAGTATGCAAAAATAACTGAATGTAATCCTTGGTTTTCAAACTTAACCACAGCCCCTGAAGTTGTGGCAAATTGTATTCTGATACATAAACAATCTGTGATTTAAAAAAAAAAAAAGGCAGAAGAAGTGGTGAGGACCAAAATAAATAGCAATAAAAATTGTATAGGAATTATATAACAAAATGATCAACCAAAGAAAAACCTAATATTATTTCCTACATAATAGTAACACAAAAACCACAGTTAACTCAAGGCAATACTGATGGTGCATTGATAAAATTCCAAAGGAAAACTAAGTCTGCTTAGCTGAAAAATTAAAATATTACATTAAAAATCATCGCAGGAAATATCTGGTCATGAGCATTTGCAGATGGAGCCTTATAAGATTCCCAAACATTTGTGGCAGCCGGACTTCTCAGGAAAATACTGAATCATAGCTCTAAAACAATCACCAAAAAAAGAAAATTTATTTCAACATTTACAAATACTAAATTTTAGTGTCCCTTAACTTATTCAACAGATCACTAACTAGTAAAAAGCTCTAACACATCAAAGTGAATCTATGTATCTGAATTTCATATAACCTTCTAGGAACCAAAGAATGAATGTGTGTTTTGAAATTAGTGTGCAAGTTCATCAGAAGAAAATTCCTGACTGAAAACTATGGAATAAACTTGGCTAAATTCATACCCTCCATTCTTTTGCTAACAATTCTTCCACATACTCATTTTTAAATGTGAAATTCCTTCGTCCTTTCCATTTTTCTGAAACTCTACTTTTCTCTAGGTTTAATTTAAGTCTTCCATACTCCACTCCTCATAAATGAGAATACCACTATCAACCCTACAGGATAGTTTTCACGATTAAGTGAGTTAATGTTCAGAGACTGATTGAAACACATCTTCCTTCTTTTTCCCTAATTCTAATTCTTGTAAAATTACTATATCCGCAACACCAACAGCAACCACTGCTTTGCAAATGTTATAGGAACTTGATAAAACTCTACTGATAGGCAGATTGGCACTCAATATAATTATCTATAAAGCTGAAATCTGCCTCATTACATTAAGCAATGCAGTATACAGTATGTAGAATACTTTGTAGGAAAATGTTTGTTTCATAAATTAAGCAGAAAACCATTATTTCTACATCCTAGGCTAAGAATATTTCTGCATTTGCAAGCACCTTTAATGTTACCCTCAGTGGGACTAAAGGAATCAAAGCTTCCCACCACTCATAGAATACTGATTTTACCTTGTCCTCATTACAAAGTAACTGATATAACTGAAAATCCAGACTCATTATTTCTGCCTATGCTCATGTCTAGACAGATCATGAGACAAATTTTCTGGAATAAATTCAACCACTGCCATAAATTCTGAAGCCAACAGTTTGACTATTAACAATTTTTCCTTTACCGTGGTAAAGGAAAGAATATTACATAAAACTCATAGAGTATAATTCATTATTTGTGAATTTTCCCAACTATTGACACTAAATATTTCAGTGTTTTCATTTAAATATCCATAGAACAATTGAATTGTTACCTAGAAATATAGGAATATATAAGAAAGAGTTACTAGGCATTTGGGGCTTGTAATATTGTGATTTATGATAAGAAATACAAATGGTTTTCATCCCATTTCCTGGTACTCATCTCCTAAAACGTTTGTAGTCTCCAAAATGGTGTCTTTTTGTATGCTAATAAGATGGCTGGGTGGTCCTGGATAGCCTCAGAACAGGGGCTTATTGCAAAGGGAACCAACTTTGTAATTAGTGTGTTGGGAACTTTCAGTTCCACCAACCTCTGGAAAGAGGTGAGGGGCAGGAGGTTGAGTTAATCACCAGTGGCCAGTCATTTATCAATCTTGGCTATAGGAAAGAAGCCCCCATAAAAACCCAAAAGGACAGGATTCATGGAGCCTCCAGGTTGCTGAACACATGGAGGTGCTAGGATGGTAGCCCACCCCGAGAGGGCATGGAAGATGCACGTCCCTTCCCACATACCTTGCCCTATGCATCTTTTCCATCTAGCTGTCCATCTGTATTCTTTGTAATATTCTTTATAATAAATCAGTAGACATAAGTGTTTCCCAAAGTTCCATGAGCCACTCCAGCAAATAATTGAACCACAGGAAGGGATCGTGGGAACCTTCAATTTATAGCCAGTTAGTCAACAGTACAGGTTACCACCTGGAGCTTTCGATTGATGTCTGAAGTTGGGAGCAGTTGTGTGGTACTGGGATCTTACCCAGTGGGGTTTGCACTAATTCCGGTTAGTGTCAGAATTGGGTTAAACTGTAGGAAATCCTATTGGTGTCTGCTGCAGAAATGGTTGGTGTGGTACAGAAAAGAAAACGAAATAACAACCAAAAAAAAAAAACACATTTTGGTGACCAAAAGTGTTCTGTGCTGGATATGTGCAGCAGGGGAAAATGAGTTGTTTTTTTCCTACTATATAGGAGTCTATAGATAAAATAACTAGTAAAAACTACACGGTACAAAATTAACAGTTATAAGTCACAAACTCTACCTTCAATCACAATTTACTGGGCTATTATAGTTTTTATTTGTATCTATACCTATTTATACTTAGTATCTTTACAACGAGCCAGGCATCCTGAGAGTTTTATAAAATTACTTCACAAAATACTCAGGAACTCTATAATGTAGGCATAATCTCTTTTTTAAGAGTTGAGTAATTAAGGCTTAAAGAGGTAAAGTGATTTGCCCAAGACCAAACAATTAGTATATATAGTAGAGAAGCCACAATTCAAACTTCTAATAATATAATAAGGACGACCTGTTTTAAACAATTCTGAAATAACAAAATTCAAATTTACAGTTTTAATCATGAAGCTATTCATTTCATAAAAATTTTATTTAGGTCACATTAAAATACTCACCAAGGATTATCTTAAGTTTTAAGAACCTCCATTTTCTTTAAAATAGAATGGAATTAACCAAATTTCTATTTACTTACATGTAACTCTTCAGGGATATCCATGTGAAAATTAGAATATACTGCTAACTTTAGTGAAATAACATAACTGGAGACATTTAAAAGCTAAGAGAAAGTAATCACCTGATACTCACCTAGTTAATTATATGCCATAATAAGATCTGATAAGACTATTATTAATTTGATTTACATTTCAAAATACCTTTATAGATTCAAATTAATGCTATGTGCATATCACAAGACTTGAGAAAGGGCACATGACTTCTTTAGTTGTTATACTTGATTTACTACCTAAGTGCAAATTATATATTAAAAATAGAATAAATTAATAACACCTGGTCAAGTTTTGTTTTTTGTTCTTTGGCAAAATGGTAAAGCACCTAAGCTGTTTGGCACAAACTTATGGCTTTACAGGACATAACTGACTGCTCAATGTAATTTTTATTTTCTTTTTCAGATACGAACGGGTATTAATTTTCTATAACTCACATATTTTATCAAGGTTAGATCTTCCAATGAGTTCAGAGGAATATGCAATGCTTGAAAGCGAACAGCTAAATACTATCTGTTGCACTCAGAAAAGGCAATTTATATCACAAATGAGTACTCTGCTCCCTTCTGGCTCACCCATAGATAATATTTTTTTAAACTCTTCAAACATCAGGGTTAAAATACTTAAAAAGTTTTCCCCTTTGTTAATGCATGGTATGTTTCTCCATACTACTCCCCAAACCAACCACAGACTATCAAAAGTACTTAAAAACAATTCTTTTGTTTTTAAGTACTTTTATCTTTTGACATCCATAGGTTATCTTTGTGATCCATAAAACAATTATCTTTTGACATAAAAACAATTATCTTTTGACATCCATAGGTTATCTTTGTGACTCATTTTATTTTCAGTTTGCAAACAAGCAAAATAGAATGAAGAAGCACCAGATCCTCAGCCGTAGAATCTCAATCCTAATTTATGAGATGACCAATGTGCCTTCGCTTGTTCCCAAAAGACTAAGATTTACTTGCATGGATATTTATTGACACAAATTATCTAGTAATGAATCAGGGAAAAAAAAAACTTTGAGGTCTGTTCACTGGTTCAACTAAGAATGATGTAATGAAGAATAGTAACCATAACCATAAGCTAAGTAAAAATAATTAGAAGTATTTGTAAAATGATAAAGAAATAGAAGGCTGCATAATTATATTGACAGGATTTGAACCAAATAGATCAAAATAACTAACACCTGGCCAAGAAACAAAGTTGTAGCTCTCACTTTAAGAGTTCAAAAGCTATCACCACACAGAGGGCACAATAATCTATAAAATGAAGTTTCTGTCCGGGTGCGGTGGCTCATGCCTATAATCCCAGCACTTTGGGAGGCCGAGGCAGGTGGATCATGAGGTCAGGAATTCAAGACCAGCCTGGTCAGTATGGTGAAACCCCGTCTCTACTGAAAATACAAAAAAAAATTAGCCGGGCATGGTGGCATGCACCTGTAGTTCCAGCTAAGCAGGAGGCTGAGGCAGAAGAATCACTTGAACCCAGGAGGCAGAGGTGGCAGTGAGCCAAGATCACATCACTGCACTCCAGCCTGGGGGACAGAGTGAGACTCCATCTCAAAAAAAAAAAAAAAAAAAAAAAAAAATTTCTCCTATTCATGCATAAAATAGTGATAAGTAGAACCTTCTTAAATTCTGAAGTCACAAATTACATTAATTTCTCTAAGACCCTATGCCTAACATTACTCCACTCCCTGACAGTTTAATTCCTAGAAAATATACTTCAAATAATAAATCCGGCACAACCTTCATAATATTCCTAATCAAAATATGTTCACTGACTGACTGAACCCTACCTATGTGAATATATAATAATAAAATCCTCATTTCTTAGTCATTATTTTATGCCCATTTTGAACCCTTCAACTTTCTCTAGGTTTATTAAACAAATAAATTCAGTCTTTTCTGTCACATCTCAAAGGATCTATTTCCAGAAACCTTAATCATATTTATACATCCTTCCTTGGTTCCTCTCCAAGTTGAGCACATCCGACTTCATTTTGTGTTTTGACTTTTTTTAAGTAGAGCAGATCAGGAAAAGAAAGTTATTATGCTGACTCCTGCCCCTTAAATTACCTAGGTCATACAATCAGCCCACTATTAGAAACAAGAGTTCAAATCTTAGCTCTCAGAGGACACCTGAATCAGAATGTGTAAGTTTATTAATATTTTCATTAATTAAATGAGATGTAATAGAAAGAGAATGAGTTTCAGCATCATCTTTTAAATGTGACCTAACCTCTCAAAGACTCAGTTTTCACATTTGTAAAAATAGGAATACCATCTATTTTATGAAGATATAAAAACAGAAAGTAATACTTATTATAAAAAAGAACTATCATAGGTCACAAATTCTTAAGTAATGTCTGTATTCTTGCATATCCAGCAGCCAGACTATGCTGGCTTATAGCAGGCGTTCAACAAAATCAACCCCTGGGATATAGTTGCTTAATGTTACTTTTCATCCTTCATTCAGGATTGATTTTTCTAAAGACTATAAAAATACTTAACTTCATAAACATTTAGACTTTCATCTGTATTCTGTGTCAGTCTCCACATTCAGTAAAAAATTGACACTAATGAATTCATGTAAATACTATGCCATTCTAAATTTTACCTTTCCCTTGAACCAACTGTGATTTTTATTTCCAGTTTAGCCATTCTAGTGGGTATTTAGTGCTGTGTTGTGATTTTAATCTACATATTCTTTCACCAGTCACTAATGAGGCTGAGGATTGGCTATCCTATTTTTAGAAATGCCTGTTCCAGACTCTAGATCACATATATGAGTTATTTATACCTTCTGGATCTAAGCCTTTTATTAGTTACATATGTTGTAAATAACTTTTGTCACTTTGTGGCTTGTTTTTTTCCCACTCTCTTAAGGATGTTTTTATTGTTTTACTTTTCTATTATCCATCTGGAATTGATCCAATGGGGTGGGGGTAAGTGATCCAATATTTTAACACACATTGAGAGTAATATAACTTAAGTATGTGACAGAATACTTATAACAATATTCAGCATTTGGTTCAAGGGCATTATAAAATAATTCATTTATATATCTAACTACGAAAAATAACAAACATTAATGGTAACATTATGGTTGCTAATTATTACTATTTACCACATGGCTAGCATACATTGGGCACCAGCTTTAGCATTTTATGTATAGATTTCAATATTCTAAACAATCATATGAAGTTAACATTTCTCATCTTCCCAAATGAGAAAACAAACTCAGAAGAGTAAAGCAATATCTTACCCATGGAAACATATCTAATAACGGTAAATCTGGGATTTAATCCTGTTATGCCCATTTTCTTTCTTCTATACTTTATTGCCTCCTAATTCAAATACTTTGGTAGTTCCTTATTGAGTAGTATTTGTCTTTACATTATTTCAAGATGTGTTAATACTTCCAACATTTGAAAGTTTGAAACTGATCATGAATATCTGATATTATTTAAGTACCTACATAGCCACAATCATATAAAACTATGTTAAAATATGAAGCCTCTGCCCTCAAGATGTTTATAACCTAATAGCTAGTACACATATGACAAACAAGGTAGGCAATTTTAAAATTCAAAGAAAGTAGCTGGATGGGCAGTTGGGGAGAAAAATGAATAGATACATAAAAGGAAAAGAAAAATATTCATATATTACAAATCAAAGCTTGGCATTTTTATATTTATCACAATCTCATAAGAATGGTGATTTATTATTTTTTTTTTGAGATGGAGTCTCACTCTGTCGCCCAGGCTGGAGTGCTGTGGCTTGAGCTCAGCTTACTGCAACCTCTGCCGCCCTGGTTCAAGCGATTCTTCTGCCTCAGCCTCCCAAATAGCTGGAATTACAGGTTCCTGCCACCGTGCCCAGCTAATTTTTGTATTTTTAGTACAGATAGGGTTTCACCATCTTGGCCACACTGGTCTTCAACTCCTGATCTCGTGATCCACCCGCCTCACCCTCCCAAAGTGCTGGGATTACAGGCATGAGCCACCGCGCCCAGCCTTGTTTATGTTTTTGTTTGAAATGGAGTGTCACTTTGTTGCC